>NC_000022.11:33255018-33406533 GCF_000001405.40 Homo sapiens
CCTCCGCCCCCCAGGTTCAAGCAATTCTCCTGCCTCAGCCTCCCTGGTAACTGGGATTACAGGCGTCTGCCACCACACCCAGCTAATTTTTGTGTTTTCCGCAGAGACGGGGTTTCACCATGTTGGTCAGGCTGGTCTTGAGCTCCTGACCTCAAGTGATCCGCCTGCCTCGGCCTCCCAAAGCGCTGGGAATACAGGCGTGAGCCACCGTGCCTGGCCCGGGAAGTAAACTTCTATCTTAGTTGAGTCATTGGTATTTTAACTTTCACATTCAGTAATATAGAATCCTTTCTCATATAGCAGGAAAGGAGTAGAGCTGCTAGATCTGAAATGCAGACTAAAACAGCAGGAAAAATGGAACAACGCGTGGACACTCTGGACTGCTGACCAAATGCTGGAGAGGCTTCCTCTGCTCTCTGGTATCCTCTTGGATGAAGTTGGGTGAGGATGTCTCCAAAACAATCAAAATTTTGTGTCCCTCCAGCCTGGCAAAATGAGAGCATCAAACCCAGATGTAAGTTGATTTTAATAAAAGAAAGCCATTCAATATTCTCGTATATCTGAGTTTGTTGCTTGAGATTCACAACAAGCTACACAGGCTTAGCTGCCCTTAGGTTTTTTAATTTGTCCCAGAAACCTTTAAATGCATTCCTCTTTATTTGATTTTTTAAGTTAACTCAAAGTGAATTTGTTACTTGCACCCAAAAGGACCCTACCTAAAACATAGGTTCTATCTGTGCAGCCACATTCATTTCTGAAACTATCTTCTTTTATCTCTGGCTAGGAATGTTTTAAATCATATTGTCAGACTCATTTTGAGGGTCCTGTTATCCAACTTGAGGTGTTTTGCTTTTTTGAAGAGTCAGTTCCCGGGATCAAGTTCATATTTCACTTCCCGTTTGACAGCTGCATTATCAAAGTTTAGCGCCTGGGGTTTCCTCTCTTCACCCCCTGCAGATTCCATGCTGACCTGTTTCTTTCATTTCCTCATCATTTCCAGGCAACCAGTCAGTTGTCCCTTATTGATCTAAATCAAGTCCAGAATGGCAGATCTTGCTGCTTCCTCTGCCAGCCGAGCAGGGAACTGTCAGCAAGACAAGCCAAGAATTTATCAGCTGTAATTCTTCCTGCAGAATTGGTCTACCTAGAGATGTATAGCTCTTTCAATCTTTCCAATGTGGTTTTGCACATCTGGAGGACGATAGAAGAGATTCTCAGGCATGGTATGAGTACCATCTATGGGGAATGTCTGTGTTATTTAAACCATTCACAGAGCCAGCGTTCTTTGAAATGGGTTGACTTTTAAATAAACCGAAGCCGAAAGTTGCAGAAAAGTTGAAAAGAACACAGAGAGAAATGGGCACCAGGAGTGTGAAACTTAAACCTCCCGCTCTGCCACTAATTCACTGTAATCCTGGGCAAGCCATTTTAACCTTCTAGGCTTTACTTTTCTCATCTGTAAAATGGGGATAATTAATCTCTTTTCTGGATAGCTTGCAACATTGGCTGGTAAAGTGCTTGGGAACATAATAATGTATAATATTGCCATGACCTGAATATGCCAACAATGCCAGACTTCCATTCCCATATTAATTATTGTTCCAGTCATGCATGTGGAAGAAGAAAGAAAAGTAGCATCTATTCAGCACCAAGTAGGTACCAGGCACTATGCTAAGGATGTTACACATGCATTTTCATTTCACCTTCACCCTAGCCTCATGCGGTCTGTATCAACTCACATATTTCTCTTCATTTTGTTCATATATTCATTTTGCAGACAAGACTCAAAGAGTTTACATGATTAGTTACCCACAGTCTCAGACTGGTAAATTTCAGAGACAAAATTCAAATTTCTGGGTTTACTCCAAAGCTGGTGATCACACAGATCATTAAAAATGGAGGTGAGGCCGGCTGTGCTGGCTCAAGCCTATAATCCCAGCACTTCGGGAGGCCAAGGCAGATGGATCACCTGAGATTGGGAGTTCGAGACCAGCCTAACCAACATGGAGAAAACGCATCTCTACTAAAAATACAAAATTAGCCGGGCGTGGTGGTGCATGCTTGTAATCCCAGCTACTCTGGAGGCTGAGGCAGGAGAATCGATTGAACCCAGGAAGTGGAGGTTGTGGTGAGCTGAGATCGCACCATTGCACTCCAGCCTGGGCAACAAGAGCAAAACTCCGTCTCAAAAATAAACAAACAACAACAACAACAACCAAAAAAACAGGTGAAGGCTGGGCACTGTGGCTCATGCCTGTAATCCCAGCACTTTGGGAGGTGGAGGTGGGTGGATCACTTGAGCCCAGGAGTTTGAGACCAGACTAGGCAACATGGTGAAATCCCATCGCTACAAAAAATACAAAAACTAGGTGGCACACACCTGTAGTCCTAGCTACTTGGAAGGTAAAACAAAAACAAAAACAAAAACAAAAACAAAAACAAAAAAACAAAAAAAAGGCAGGGGGGTGGGAGGGAATGAGTAGCTGGAATTCCAAGTTAATCTTAAAGAAGCCATTTTCTCTTGGCTGTGAGGAGGAAGTAGACCTCCCTAGGAGATAACGCATCTGCCCAGAGGACACAGAAAGCCTTTAAATAGCCCTTAACGGGATAGGAGCAGGAAGGGCTTTAGAAATCATCTCAACCAACTCTCCCATGTTAGGGACGAGGAAGAGGAAGCTCAGAGAGGGGAATAAGTTGCTCAAGAATGAGCAGCTGTGGAGAGGTGGGTTTGGGAAGAGAATCTACATTCACTCATCCACCCATTCATTTAACAAATATCTATTTAGGACCTACTACATGTTAGGAACTGGAGCTACTCTGGTGAATAAAAACAGTTCCAGTTCTTACCCATATGTAGAAGTCACAGCCTTGAGAGAGAGGTAGTCATCAAACAAATCACTGCACAAACAAATGTGAAATTCAGCAGTGACCCATGTTAGGAAGGAGAAGTACTTGGTGCTGTGAGAGCATAGGTTGGGGGGATTTACCTGGATGGGGGGATCAAGAAATGTATATATATTTTTTTGAGACTACAGAGTCCTGCTCTGTCCCCCAGGCTGGAGTGCAGTGATACGATCTTGGCTTACTGCAACCTCCACCTCCCAGGTTCACCGCGATTCTCCCTGCCTCAGCCTCCCAAGTAGCTGGGATTACAGGCATCCACCACCACGCCCGGCTAATTTTTGTATTTTTTAGTAGAGATGGGGTTTCACCATGTTGGCCAGTCTGGTCTTGAACTCCTGACTTCAGGTGATCCACCCACCTTGGCCTCCCAAAGTGCTGGGATTACAGGTGTTAGCCACCATGCTCAGCCAAGCAATGCATTCTTGAGGGAAAGATGCTAGAACTGAGTGCTGAAGAATGCCTGAGAGGTTGCTGGGTAAAGGAGCAAAGGCCATTTTAGGCAACTGGGTAGAGTGTGGTGTTAGATGCGGAGAAATGGAAGTGTCAGAGGCATTTGAATCAGAGCAACTCCATCTTGAGTGAGGACTAGGAACATGAGGCTGGGACTTTCTGGACTGCATTTCCAGAAAGTTCGGTATTTCTAGCCTCTAGATGTTTACGGTTAAGGGAACAAATTAATACATTTACTAAACAAACCCAGACTTGGGAGTGTCCTGATATCCCAATATCTTGAGAACAGAGGCATTCCTAATTTTGTTTTAAAGATAATATCAATTCTTGCAAAATATAGTAACTAATATAGTAATTAAGAAAATTTGCTTTTGCTTTGTATCGTGGACTCACTCTGATTCCTTTACCTCTCTTGGGGTCTGGATCGGGACCCCTTTCCTGTAACAGCAGGAGAGAACAGAACCTGCAGCACCATGTAGGCCTTGATATAAACTTTATGTTTCTTCTTTTTTTTTTTTTTTCCAAGACATAGTCTTGCTCTGTCATCCAGGCTGGAGTACAGTGGCACGATCTTGGCTCACTGCAACCTCCACCTCCCAGGTTCAAGCAATTCTCCTGCCTCAGCCTCCTGAGTAGCTGGGATTATGGGCGCCCGCCACCACACCTGGCTAATATATTTGTATTTTTAGTAGAGACGAGATTTCACCATGTTGGCCAGGATGGTCTTGAACTCCTGACCTTGTGATTTGCCCGCCTTGGCCTCCCAAAATACTGGGATTACAGGCATGAGCCACTACACCCGGCCAACTTTATCTTTATTCTAAGAAATGCTGAAGGGTTTATCTGATTCCTGTTCCCATTCCTTACCTTTAACCACATTGACAATGTTAAGGACAAGTGAGAGAGAAGGCAGATTCAATTACTATCCACGAGAAATCCAAAGGGCAACACACACACACACACACACACACACACAAACACACACATGCACGGACACACACACACATACACACACAGACACTTAGGAAAAAAATTCCTTCACTTTTTTGCCACATCGTAGTTTTCTAGCAACCTGGCTGGTCAACTGCCTTCCATTTCTCTGCAAGCCTGATTTGTATGTGCACAGTACGCGTGTGTGCATGGACACACACACACACTTTACATGCATATCTTCATCTTAGCAAACAATGTCTTGACATTTCTGATACAGGAACTACAGAGCTTATTCTGATTAATCTCATTAAATTCCAATTAGTTTACCCACTTGGGTCATTGAATCCACAATTACTTGCTGTCATGATGCTGAAAATAAGGCCCATCCTGGCTTCTCCAAATGATGACAATTCAATGGTGAGGTCTCTTCTGGTGTGATGAAGTTCCACTCTCTGCTTCCAGAAGTTAGAGAAGACCCAGGAGTGCCATTCTTAAGCCACTTTGGAAGGTCTGTGCTGCAACCTGCCTGCCTTGTTGAATGTTGCTCTTCCGTATCTACCACATGCATCTGGTATTTTGACATCTGGGGTCTTGCTGACCCTGGAGAGACTGGCCCTCCCAGGTCTGGCCAATTTGCGTTCCATATGCAAATTAACCAAGCCCATGCTTATAACCACCCTCAACTCCCATTATCGAGCAGTTTCACTTTGGGCCATTATTCCCTTGCTATAAACATACCAGGTACCGAGCAACTAGAGATCACCCTTACACCAAAGAGCCCACTGAAATTATTCACACTAGCCAATCCTAAGCCTGTTTATCCTACCTCACCTGCTCCTTCCCACTGAAACCCCGCAAAGCCTCTTGCCCACATTTTCTTCCCACCCCCCTGCCTCCTGACCCACCCTGGCGCTTCCCCTGTGGCCCTGTAAGGCGTGGCATGCCCCCTCCTCTCCTCTGGGGAACGGTGCGTAACAAACTGCCTTTTCAACGGCATCCCTAAATAATAAAACCAACATTTAAAAACACCTTCCTCAGACTCTCTTCTTTCATTTGCTTCTGAGAAATCCCACTTGAAAGCTCTCTGGCCTCCCTGGCATGTGCTAGCTGGAAGGCATGGGCTTTGGGGTCTGGCTGACCTGAGCTGACAGCTCCACTGTGCCCCTTTCCAACCGCTGGGCTGTGAGTCTCTTATGTCACCTTCTCGACCCATCTGGAGAAATGAGGATCACAGCGTCTATTTCATAGGGTTTGCCTGGGGATTAAATGAGATAATGCCGGCCATGCATCTAGCAGAGGACCTGGGACAGCGGTTTGCTGAACCCACATTCGTTGCCTTCAGTGAACCGAGAGCCTCCTTTGCTGTCTGCCTCTGCCTGCCAGTTTTATTGTTCAGTCACGCAGGAATCTTGAGAAAACCCGTGGAAGATTTATTGTAAGCTTTTCAACCTTTGCTTCCTTTATTTGTTAACCTCCATCCAACCAGAGCGTTTTATTTTCCCCTTCATAAGCCCCTTGCAGGCTCTGGCAGGTTCTGAAAGAGCACTTTTGATGAACTGCTTGGACCCAGCACTCATCCTGGCTGCTCTCTCTTGCTGATGGCTCATTGAAGAGTGCTCCAAAGAGCACAGAATTGGAAAACGGCACATCCCCACCCCAGAAATGTCAGGGTTTTCAAAATGAAATGCCAATGAATTGCCCAAGGGAAGAACCATGCCTGGCATGACCCAAAGTAACAGCAGTTCAGTCTCCGGAACATTATGGAATTTCAGTCAACACTCATTCAGCATGCGTGTACCAGCACCCCTTCGTGCTCGCCTGTGTGCCAAAGGTGGGAACACAGTGGTGAACAAGACACGGTCCTTTCTCTCAAGCAGTGCCCAGGTTAGCCTGAAGAGAGGAGGGTGGTGGAGGTTACTTATTGTGACAGCTAGAGGCTTCTCCACACAGTGCTGTAGCTGACATTCTCATGGTTTCGCTTTGTTTATCTATTCTATCTTTACGGAAGCTTTGCCATGTTTAAACTTCCAGAGAGCAATGAGAATGGAGGCTTCTGGAAGTGCTCTGGGGCCCTGTCTCAGGCTCCCCTCTCTTCTTTACCTATGCTCACTCCTTAGACGATCTTATGCTGCCTCTACCAAAGGCACGTGGGCCATTTTTCTGTGTCCCAAATTCAAATTGTAATTCAAACGTGGCTCTCAGAAGAATAGCATGTGTGAAAATCTTGTTTCTTTTATAAAAGGTATGAAAAGGAAAAATAAGTGAACAAAAACCAAGACATAATACAAAACAAAAATCAAAAAAGAAAAAAAAAAAGACCAAAACCAGCACTAAACCCTGTATTTGATTCCAGAAGTTGAGGAGGGTGAATTATACTGACTTTCTGTTAGTGTGGGGAGGTGTGAAGAAAATGAGACTCAGAATCAGAAGACAATGACTGCTCTGCTAATGAGTTTAGAAAATAATGCTCTTTTTGCCTGTTTTCTCATCTCTGAAATGACTGCTTCTCTCTGTAGTAGAGAATCAAACTCTACAGCAACCAGTTGCAGTGCTGCCTGTGATGTTTGCTCTCAGCTCTTAAGATCAATGCCTCAGAGGAATCTCTGTTGCAGGAATGCTCATAAGAACTAAACTCTTGGCTCTCTTTTCCCACTTAGTGAAGCACTACAGCTGAACAAGAGAAAAAAATAACGGATAAAGAAAGAGTTCTCTAGCAAACGATGCCATGTATTGATGGGGTGTTTGGAGTTGACAAAGTATCGTAAACACTCATGTTAGCGCCTTTGATCTCCACGAAAGCCTTAAAAGACGGGCAGGATTTCTTCCTTTTTTATAGGTGAGCAAACAAGGGCAAAGATGTAAACTGGCTTCACCGTCACCCGGCTGTTCAGTGGTGAGTAGAGACAGTGGTTCTGGCACATCCGGCTTCAAGAATGGAGCTCTCATGCCCAGGCCTACCACTTCCTAAAAGAACTCCTGGAAATTGTCCCTTCTCCTTTGATTTCAGTCAAACCCTTTCTGGGAGTACACGGAACAGTTAGGAAAGTCCCATTCCTTTCTGTTGAAAGCCCCATAGCCAGTCATCACTGTGGTTGCTGGTGCTACGACTGGGCCTCCTGCAGCCAGGGGACACAGGCTAGAGAGGGCCCCGGGTGCCTATCAGTGGCCCCAGACCATTGCTCTTCCTGAGCACACCTGCCGCTCATGCCATCTTGCCTCCTCATGAACTGTTTCCTCTGCTGGAAGATCTTCAGTGCCCCCACCTGTCAATGTTGGACTCAGAGTCACCTCCTTAGGAACCGTTAACTGATGCCCAGCCTGGTCAGGCAGCCCCTCCACACTCCTGCAGTACTCTATTACGCCTGCCAGTCAGGATGATAACCAATGATCTCATTCTCTTTCAGGGACAGTGGGCTCCCTCTGCAGACATCCTTTCTTTCCTTCTTTCCTTCCTTCCCTTCCCTTTCCTTCCTTCCTTCCCTTCCCTTTCCTTCCTTCCTTCCTTCTTTCCTTCCTGACTTCCTTCCTTCACTCCCTCCCTCCTTTCTTTTTCTTTCTTCCCTCCCCTCCCCTCCGCTCGCCTCCCCTCCCCTTCCGTTCTTTCTTTCTTGGAGTCTCACACTGTTGCCCAGGTTGGACTGCAGTGGACTGATCTCAGCTCACTGAAACCTCCATCTTGGGGGTTCAAGTGATTCTTCTGCCTCAGCCTCCCAAGCAGCTGCGATTACAGGCACGCACCACCATGCCCAGCTAGTTTTTTGTATTTTTAGTCGAGACGAGGTTTCACCAGGTTGGCCAGGCTGGTCTCGAAAACTCCTGACCTTGTGATTCGCCACCTCAGCCTCCCAAAGTGCCGGGATTACAGACATGAGCCACTGTGCCCGGCCGACATCCTTTCTTTGACCATAAATTCCTATCAGAATTCCTCTCTGTGTCAGACTTGTAAGAGGACCTCCAAGATTCCCAAGCCCTGCTGTATCTCCCTATATAATCTCTCTGTGAAGATGAGCAGGACCTGGGAATACGATGGGATATCACGCATGTGATTATGCTGTGTTATAGAAGACTCAGGTTGAGCAGGATGAAGGGAGAAGTGCTCTTGCTGGCTTTGAAGAGGTGAGCTGCTATGTGGCAGAGAGGACTCCTTTGCAGGGAGTGGTGTGTTCTCTCTAGGAGCTGAGAAAAGTCCTGGGTCAATAGCCATGTAGAGAGCAGAGCTCTCAGTCCTGCAACCCACAAGGAACTGAATTCTTCCAACAACCAATGAATTTGGAAAAGGAAGTCAAGGCCCAGAGGAGAACCACAGCATGGCTGACACCTGCATTCAGCAGCCTTGCAAGAGCCTGAGCACAGGTCTGCCATAACTGGTACCTGGACTCCTGATCCATGGGAACTATGAGATAATACATGCGTGCTGTTTGAAGCCACTTCATCTGTGGTAATTTCTTACACAGCAGTGGAAAACAAATACACTCCCCATGGACATGAAATGCACGATGAAGGACCTGTTACAACTGGATGCCATTTCATCTCCCATCAGGGATGCAGAAGAGCACAGCGGTTAAGAACGAACTCTGGGGTTGAGCTACCTGGGTTCAAATCTCAGTTCTGCTACTTACTGTTATGACTTTGGGCAAATTACTTAACTTCTTTGTGCTTTGATCTGCCCCTCTGTAAAATGGGTCTAGTAAAAGTATCTATCTGAACTAACTTACCATAGAACTTACTAAATGTAAACGCTTAGAACTATGACTGAAGCATAGCAAGGACTGCCCAAGTGCTTGCTAACATAATTAGCAAATCAACTGAATTTGTGTTTACAAACACAGAAGATCAACTCCTTCATATTATAGACATGGAAACTGAGCTCCAGGGAGAAGTGTCTTGTTTAAGGCCAGAGGGACAAGGCTAGAGGGATAGGTCTAGATTCACAAACTAAATTTAACCGTGAAGGTAAAGGCTCTGGGAGTCCATAGGATAAAAAGTCTCATCCTAATCCATTCATGAAGAAATCAGGCCTAAATCAAAGAAGGCAGTTTCAGGCTTCTCCATAGGAGGCACACAACTTAAATTAGGTTTGTAGTGGCTCACGCCTGTAATCCCAGCACTCTGGGAGGCCAAAGCGGGTGGATCACTTGAGGTCAGGAGTTGGAGACCAGCCTGGCCAACGTGGTGAAATTCCTGTCTCTACTAAAAATACAAAAATTAGCCCACTTGGTGGCACACACCTGTAGTCTCAGCTACTTGGGAAGCTGAGGCAGGAGAATCACCTGAACCCGGGAGGTGGAGGTTGCAGTGAGCCGAGATTGCACCACTACACTCCAGCCCGAGCGACAGAGTGAGACTTCATATCAAAACAAAACAAAACAAAACAAAAACTTAGTTTTGCCTTTTTGCCTTTTCCTTCTGGTGCAACAAAGTCTCTCTGCTTGATGAAATATTAGATGAACTCTAGTGAGCTCTCTTTCCAACTAGACCTTATCACTGGGCGCTGTCATCTTCAGCCTGCTGAGTTCAATTTTAACAAGAATCCTGCTAAGTCATTTTAGAGGAAATCTCTCCCCTTTGACATCTGATCAAATTCTTTTTTTTTTTTTTTTTTTTTTTTGAGATGGAGTCTCGCTCTACTGCCCAGGCTGGAGTGCAATGGCACGATCTCAGCTGGGCTCACTTCAACCTCTGCTTCCCAGGTTCAAGTGATTCTCCTGCTTCAGCCTCCTGAGTAGCTGGGATTACAGGCATGTGCCACCATGCCTGGCTAATTTTTTTTATTTTTAGTAGAGATGGGGTGATTTCACCATGTTGGTCAGGCTGTTCTCAAACTCCTGACCTCAGGTGACCCTCCCATCTCAGCCTCCGAAAGTGCTGGGATTACAGGCGTAAACCACCATGTCTGGCCTGATCAAATTCTTTATACCCCACCTTTGGGGTCTAAGTTCTTGGACTGCCTCTAGCAATAATCCTGGTAAGTCAGTTTAGCAAGAACCAAGCAACCCTTGATGTGTCCTCTGAATAATTTTGCATCCACTGACCCCCTCATTCCACTGGTTGGCTATCCATCTCCAGCTATCCTTGCTGTATTCAGAGCTGAATCCAAGCGCTCTCTCGTCTTGACACCTATTGTGGCAATAGTCCTGAATAGAGTCTCACTTACCGTTTTAACAGGTGTTAGAATAATTTTTTCCTTACTAGGTGTCATCTGTCTTAGAAGCCTTCCATGATCCCCGGCCTGGAGTGAGCACCCTTCTCCCAAGCTCCCATCACATCCTGGGCACCACTTCCCTTTACCAGCCTGTACGTCACTACTCACACACCCATCTGCCTCTCATGAGGGCAAGGATAGTGTCTTATTCATTTTTGAATAATTATCAGCTGGCACAGCTGTTGGACCCCCAGCAACTATTTTAAAAAATGAACCAATCACTTGTTTACAGGAGGGTTTCTGTAGTGTCTAGTGGTGAATGCCAGACACGCTGTTAAGGCTCCATAAATATCTGGAAATAAGGGGATTCTTAAAGGTGTAAGGAGACAGTGTTATGTGTGGTCCTCTGTATCACAAGGGGGTTCGTTAGAAAATGCAGAATCGCAGGCAGCACCAACAGAGTCAGACTTTCCTGAGACCCTCACAAACGATTCATATACACATTCAAGTGTGAGAAGCACTGGTACAGGCCAAGAAAAGATAAATTCCCCAAGGACTAGGCATATTCTGGCTACTAAAGTCCTTTCTAAAGCAAAGATTCCTTAATCTTGTGTTTATCTGAATCCCTAGGAAACTATCAAGACAATTGAAAACATGAGAATATAAGATGGGATAAAAATCAGTAAGCAAGAACTCAATAGGGAAAAAAAAAAAAGAATGAAAGCAAACATGAGCACTGGGGCCACGTGGGCCTAGGTCTGATTTTCAGGGCTTTTTTTTTTTTTTTTTTTGAGATGGAGTTTCGCTCTTGTTGCCCAGGCTGGAGTGCAATGGTGCTATCTCGGCTCACTGCAACCTCCACCTCCTCGGTTCAAGCGATTATCCTGCCTCAGCCTCCCGAGTAGCTGGGACTACAGGCACTCGCCACCATGCCCAGCTAATTTTTTCGTATTTTTAGTAGAGATGGGGTTTCACCATGTTGGTCAGGATGGTCTTGAACTCCTGACCTCAGCTGGTCTGCCTGCCTCGGCCTCCCGAAGTGCTGGGATTACAGGCATGAGCCACAGTGCCGAGCCAGGGCTCTTATTTAAAACCTCTCTGAGCTTCCGTTTCCTTATCTTTAACATATGGAGAATACTACATCGTGCTTCCCATTGCTGATTAAATAAGAAAATGTATATTGTCCAGCATATGTTTGTTCTCCATGACTCTCCAGCAGGAGTATGAAAAGGCTAAGACGCTAACTGAGCAGGGAACAGCTGGTCTGGCTGAGCCTACGTATGACGGGTTTGGGAACATCATATGAGGCCAACCAACAGACTCCTGTCTGCTGATTTACTCCATGCTCCCTGTCCTTATACCTCACATTCATTTCACTCCCATTCAGGAAGCTGTAGAGAACAGTCTTGGAGTCAGAGGAAAAAAAAAAAAGAGTTTGATTTGTGGCTTCACCAATTACTCAATCTCACCAAGCCTCAGTTTCCTCGTCTAGTAAATAATATCTTCTCATGGCCAGTCACAGTGGTTCATGCCTGTAATCCCAGCACTTTGGGAGTCCGAAGCAGGTGGATCACTTGAGGCCAGGAGTTCGAGACCAGCCTGGCCAACATGGCAAAACCCTGTATCTAGTAAAAACACAAAAATTAGCCGGGTGTGGTGGCGTTCGCCTGTAATCCCAGCTACTCAGGAGGCTGAGGTACAAGAACTGCTGGAATCCGGGGAGGCAGAGGTTGCAGTGAGCTGAGATTGTGCTACTGCACTCCAGCCTGGGCGACAGAGGGGACCCTGTCTCAAAAGAAAACAAATAAAACCCCAAAAAATCCCTTCTCTCATGGGAGTCCTGTAAGCTACGGAAGCAACAAATTTAGCACTCAGCGCCCAAGGGCTCCATTAATGGTAGCTGCGATTGCTTAAAGATAGCTCTGAACAATATTAGAACGTTGAAGGCAGATCTGTTGTCAAAGGACAGGATTACATCAAAGTCTTCCATCAATTTCTTTCTGCTGAATTAGACATGGGTTATGTTCAAATAACTCAGAGTTAATGAAATTGTGAAGCTCAGAATTGCCTTTCGCTTACTACAAGATGCACTAGACTGCAGAAGGCATCACTTACGTAGGTTTTCCTGGGATTCGGGGGTCTGAGAGTGATCAGCCGATTGTGACCCAGTACCCAGGGACCACCAAGAAAACAGAGGCATTTCTCAGAGACTTCTAAGTGGAGCTTTTTACCTTGAGGCCGATTGCTAGGCCGCTGCACATAAAGAGGCCTCTATGCGCTCCCATTGCATTGGTGCTGGAATCAGTAGGGTGACGCAGTTTTCTATCACTTACGTAGAAGATGTTTCTGATCTTCTCAATATTAAATGTTGATCTTAACATTCATGGGGAAAGGAACCAAGTCACTTAGTTTTACCTAAGTATTATATAATCTTTGGGGAGGGTGAAGATTCAAAGCTGGAATATTAATGAGCTAGATTATGTGGACCCATACATAATGGCAAAATTCAAGAATTTTTTTTTTTTTGAGACGGGGTCTTGCTCTGTTGCCCAGGCTGGAGTTCAGTGGCGCGATCTCGGCTCACTGCAACCTCCGCCTTCTGGGCTGAGGCGATTCTCCTCTCAGCCTCCCGAGTAGCTGGGATTATAGGCATCTGCCACTGTGCCCGGCTATTTTTTGTATTTTTAGTAGAGATGGGGTTTCACCATGTTGGCCAGGCTGGTCTGGAACACCTGGCCTCAAGTGATTCGCCTGCCTCAGCCTCCCAAAGTGCTGGGATTACAGGCGTGAGCCACCATGCCCGGCCCGCAAAAGTCAAAAATTCTTACATCGCCGTTTTGATGTATCTTTTCTCCTTGCATATCTGAGAAACTAAAAAAACTATGAAGGTTCACATTTATATCCACACATAATAAACACGCATTCTAACACAAAAAGCATTTCAACTGAAACTGATGAATATCTTAATAGCTGTTAAAAAACTTTTTTTTTTTTTTTTTGAGATGGAGTCTCACTCTGTTGCCTAGGCTGGAGTGCATGGCGCGATCTTGGCTCATTGCAAGCTCCGTCCCCCGGGTTCTCACCATTCTCCTGCCTCAGCCTCCCAAGTAGCTGGGACTACTGGTGCCCGCCACCACGCCCGGCTAATTTTTTGTATTTTTAGTAGAGATGGGGTTTCACCATGTTAGCCAGGATGGTCTCGATCTCCTGACCTCGTGATCTGCCTGCCTCGGCCTCCCAAAGTGCTGGGATTACAGGCATGAGCCACCGCGCCCGGCCTAGTTGTTATAAAACTTTTAAGCAGGTAGAAAATAATCACTTTCATTGTCTGGTAATAAGGCGACTAAGTTAGTGACATATTATAGTACACATTGCCTTAGGGACCCACATATTGAATCATCTCAGAAATGTATACATGTGGATGGTAAACCTTCTGAATCTGGCTTTTTAGCACTACTTGCCATAAAATTTTGTCACATAATATGCTATATAACATTAATAAACTCAAAAAATTACATATGCATACAGACATATGCATAGCCTTGTGTATGCATGTTTATTTTTCATTCAAAACACTGAACTAACAAAACAACTTCTGAATTTAACCCTTGTATTTTGGTTATACAAGACAATGTTATGTTTTAAAAAAATACACACTAAAGTATTTAAATTTAAAGGGGCATGGTATCTACAATTCATTTTCAAATGTTTGAGGAAAAAAACTATGAAGAGTATGTGGCAAAATGTTAACAAATGGTTAATCTAAATGTAAGGGATAAAGTTATTTGTATTATCCTTGCAATTTTCCTGTTAGTTTTCAAACTTACAGTTTCAAAAATAAATGAAACTAAAACAAAACTAAAACCGTTTCTGTGAAAGTCTTAAGGTGAAACCAGCCTTGGCATTATCTGTTTACTTTTCTGCTGTCTAATGAATTGCACTTACATGAAAGTAGACTGTACCTGGTTCACTGTTGCATTCATAATGTCCACCAATGAGTAGATGCTCAATACATTACTTGTGGAATTCAGAAAAAAATGATAAAAAGTGCAGTGAAATTACTGATGTCACTAGAGCCCTTATTTTCTTTCTTCAGCACCACTTACCCAGGAATCTGTCAAAGCTTTGCTCTCAGTGAGCCCTGTCAATCATTTCATGACATTGTCCTGGCCTCATTGATCAGATGGCCTTGGTACGACACCTTGGGAAACACTTTCCCAGAACTGCCTGACATTTTTTCATTCCAGAAGACATTATCTCTTAAGACTATATTAACCTGAGCCACCGGTGGCTCACGCCTGTAATCCCAGCACTTTGGGAGGCCGAGGTGGGCGGATCATGAGGTCAGGAGATCGAGACCATCCTGGCTAAAACGGTGAAACCCTGTCTCTACTAAAAATACAAAAAATTAGGTGGGCGTGGTGGCGGGCGCCTGTAGTCCCAGCTACTCGGGAGGCTGAGGCAGGAGAATGGTGTGAACCTGGGAAGCAGAGCTTGCAGTGAGCCGAGATCGCGCCACTACACTCCAGCCTGGGTGACAGAGCAAGACTCTGTCTCAAAAAAAAAAAAAAAAGACTATACGAATGTGTTACAACAAACCAATGACCAAATCCATTAAATATTCACAGTCAGAAACCCCACATTTTTGTGGCACCCCCATTACCTCCTTTTGGATATCACCAGTTATTTCTTGAAATTAAAGGACACTTCTTAAAAGGAGTTTTGTTAAATGAATGGAAACAAAGATCATGGTATATCCGACATTAGATCCTATGGGTCTGAAACCTCTTAGAATGCATATGGCAGATAAGTGACATTTCATAAACTTGAATGGCACTAAGCTGAATAATAAACCCTTAGGGTTAAAAAAAATGAGGAAAACGAAGTATATGAAGTACATGAAGATACGACTGTACAAGCCTCGCAGCTAAGCTGATTTCAGTATTGTATGGGAAGGCAGTAGCACATTTTAGTGGAAAGACAGGGGTTTTTGAAGCCAGCCAGATTTTGGTTCAAATTCTGGCATTCCATTAGCAGCCTGTGTGGTCTTGGGCAAGTCACATTAATTTCTCTGGGAGCTAGTTTTATTAGCTAAATAATGGGGATAATAATACCTCCCTTATTTTATAACATAGCTGTGAGGATCCATCATTGCCAACTACCATAGAAGTCTTGGTTCAATAAAGGGTAGTTCTTATTATCTCTACCAAGAGTGTGAAGGAGCTGTGTCTGAGAGGGGATTTGAATCACATTTCTTTCACTAACACAGAGCTCCCTAAAGGCCTGGTGACCACAAATGAAGCCTTAACTCAAAGACAGTAGAGTCTTTGAAAGGAACAGAATTAAAGTAGGGTCTGTCCTTTCATGATGGGGCACAAAGAGGCTATTAGTCAACTCAGCAAATATGTGCTCTGTAAATCAGCTCAACACATTCAGAGAGATCACTCTGAAGCAGCATGCTAAGTCAGGGTACAAGGGAGAGCTTAAAACTTAGTGTCTCTACCTGAGCCATGTAATCTAAGAAACAACCCAGGAGAAGCATTCAGAGAATCAATTACTATCCCCTAGAGTGGAACCCAGCTGTCTGAATATGATTATAGATCACCCAGGTCTATTTCAAATTAATTTTCAGGAAGTCCATGAGCATAGCAAGATTTGGCATATTTTAGGAGATTGCTGTCTGGACTGTGTGTGTTATTGGATGGATGTTGAAGGAAGAAGACTAGAAATCCAAGAATCTTCCTACATAGGTTCAAATTCTCTTGTCTGTCACTGTTTCATATCTGTTTCCTTCTTATTGGGAAAGGAAGTAGCATTGCAGGTTATGTGCCTTTGGATTCAAAGAAGTAGGATTTGATTTAAATTCTAGGTCTGCCATATATTAACCATGTGAATTTGGAGGAGTTACTTAATTACACAGAATGCATTCAGGTTCCCCAAGTAGAAATGTTAATATCCACTTTGCAGTTTTGCTCCAAGGGTTCGGTGAACTCATGCCTGCCAAAGGCTTCTGCACATAGTGGTTACTGAAAACATCTCAGTTCCCCTCCACACTGACTGTTAAGGGGACCAAATGAGGGAACCTTGTCCTTCCTCTCAACTGAAAGCCAAGATTAGTATTGGCTTATTTAAGCATGAAAACATCTGTGTGACACATTTAAAGGCCTGTTTTACCCCCCAGGGAATTGATGCAAAGAAATCAACATCTTTTGCAATTACCTCTGCCCAAATGGCTACAGCTCCCCACACATAAGCTGGGGCTGGCAGTGAACTGCTGCTCCCAGTGTAAGTTCTGGGAATGCAGGCTGCTGGCTCTGCGGACCTCAGCCTCCATTGGGTTGGCAGCCTCTCTGTTGAAGTTGGGCATCCGCCAATGTCTGAGCTCCAGCCTTCAGTGAGATTGGCTTACAGTGTAAGGCACCTGTCTTTGGGGAAATAGGATTTTCTCCTGTTGGTGTGAAGTATCAGTTTCTGGCCTTAATAAATTCACTGTACGTGAAGGTACATCATCTTCTAGTTTATGCCTATTGTGTAAAAATAATTAGCACCTTTCATTCTCAGAAGTGACCCGATTTAGATGACAAATTACATGGTCACCAGCTACGCCCATAAAAATGCAAGTGAAAGCAAGGTGGCTGGGCATGAGTCAGGGGCCAAGCAAAATTTTAAAAATAAAAAGGCTTTAGGGAATTAAAAATGGATTTTTAACATTGAGGAACCAGTGCTACCATCAGGTTTTCACTTGGCTCAAGTAGCTGGTAATGATTAATTCAAAACCTGTATCGGTATGTGTACATCTCCTAACAGTGGTCCTCTCTAGGGAAGGAGGAGAAATTAGTGAGTGCCTCTGTATCTGTGTATCTGTCTGTGTGTGCTTGTGTGTACACAGGGGAGAGAGAAAGTCAATGATATGCTGCTGGTAAATATTTAACAACTAGCTCTTGGGGATGGGGACAGAGGAATCACTGAACGTGGAAACTGGAAATATGCCCAAAAAGGCCTTGTGAGCATGTAGAAGCTGGCCTGGCACACCACTGAACAAATTGGACTTTGACATGTACTTTCAAAATTTTTGTTCTGCTTTATACATATATGTCACTTTTTATTTATAAATGCTTTGTATATAGGCTATATACTTGTATGCTCTGTCTACATATATATTTACATACATACATAAGCCTAGCTAGATCTATGCAAAAATTAGTCCTAATGGTAATTTTCCTAATTCTTGTATAAATTTCCGTGTAACATCCACTTGAGCATGTAACATCGTGAGTGATCTCACAAACCGGATTGCTATAGGGTCCCACATGACTACCAGGCCCAAGGATGGGATGTTCCCTTTACAATTGATTACCAGGATTTACCCTCCTAGCCCACATCTGGTAGAAGACAACATCTGGCTCCAGTGTTGAGAAAGATGCGGAATGGAAAACTTGAAGATGGTTTGAGTTAGAGACAGAGTGGGATCTAACTTCAGGCAAAAGGGGAAAAAAAAGGCTAAAGTTCAAATGATGAGAAAAATAGAATGGGGGAACAGAAAGTGTGAAGTTGCTGTTTATCCACTGCAATTTAGCTCTCTATGTCAAGGTGTGTCTCAGTAGCTTCCTGCAAGAGTGGGAGGGGAATGGGGAAGAAACAGTCTGTACTTTCATTTATTAAATGCAGCTTTCGCTGGTCACATTGCAACTCAATACAAACAGCCCAGCAGAGGGTAGGGCATTAACTCTTGTTCTCATCAATGTAAACACAATATTAATATTGAAGATTAAAGAAAATGGGTAAAAAGTCCAGTGTCTCCTCAATCTGTGTGAAGGTGAAGGTGGTTGCCTACCCTTGGACAGGTCCCAAAGGGAGACTGAGGTTGTCACCTCTTCCCATCCACAGTGAAGCAGGCAAGAACCAGAGGAACCCAATCACTTTCTTCCTGTAGGTCTCCAGATGGATACGTGAATCTTCAGAACTGGGCTTTCATGAATTATGAAAGTTCTTCGAAAGGCCTGAGAGGTTCGTACCTTGTGTGTGCACTGAAGTAGTTCCTTCAAAGCCCTTTCCCATGAATCAGTCACTGCCAATAGAAAATGTGACCGGTGTAAAACAGCCAGCCCTCGTAATTCCGCAGTCCCCATCGCTATAGCCCCTGGATTCTGGAGAGTAGGGAGTTCAAAGTCACGGGAGCCTCGGTGATCATCCTGAAGGAAGCTGCCCATGTTTAAATATCGGCCGAAGATGCTTGACCTCCTTCCTGGGCCACTGCTGATAGAGGGTGGTTGGTAGAGGCAGCTGATTTTCCTTTAGAGCCTCAAAGGATCAGATTTTCTATTTTGGATTGCCAGCCCCAAAAATAAACAAAACCCCCAAAGAAAAACAAAACAAAACAGGAGTGACTTTGGGGATAAGGAAACCCATCAACCCCACCTCCAGGACCCTCTGGTTACAATGTCCCCATTGGGTTTTTCCAAGTGGTTGGTTTAGATCATCGGTTTGCCCTCCGTTTGAATGCCCAGCTACATTGCAGGGCAAAGGGGAAAGTTTTCACTTAATAAAGACAATTTCACTTCTATTTCCTGGGACGAATAACCCCTAGAACCCTGACTTCCCTTTCTCCCCAGTTATGATGGGAAGCATAATTATTAAAAAGCATCCAGAACATCCTAAAGCCCTGCCCTGATCTTGTGGCTTTGCAGTAAGATGATAACCCTTTTACTCCCTGTCACCCCTTGATTTCCCATTCTTGAAGAGACTCATCTAGGTGGGCTGCATAGCTAACCTCTGGGAATGCAGGGTTGTGGGGCAGAGAGGGACTGGCTGGATCCTTGTCCAAGGTCTCTGTAGTGAGGGCAGCTTGGCTGGGCCAAAGAGATAAATAAAAACAAACCGAAAAAGCATGGCTCAATTTTGAATTTGAAGGCCGGGCCCCAAACAGCGAGTGGCACTTCCCCTACAGCATGTCTCCCCCTAGTGGTGGGCTTCTTGGTGCTAGCTGTTGTTCTCGGCTGTGAGATATTTCAGGGCAGCAAAGCCGTAGCGGCGGGACATGTCCTGCTGAAACTCTTCCTTGAGGGTTTTGAGACAGATGCGGTATTGCTTGTTGGAACGGAACTTGGTAATGTCGAAGCTGGGGGCATGAGGCATGTGGATCATGTAGGCGTTGGGCAGCACAATGAACTCATACTCCTGGAAGAAGACAAGAGCAGCGTGAGAACCCGCAAGAGCCGAGGGTCATGCATGATGAAGGCCCAAGCGAATGATTGAATGGCTAGTGAATGAATGACTTGATAATGGCACCCACAAGCAGATGGCAAAGGACAGCACAACAGCTTTGGAGTGGGGTAATTCAGGGCTGTTTCCATGACCTTGGACCAGGAAACTGGCTTCTCTGAGCCTTCATGTTCTCATCTATAAGGTGAAAGTAATAATATTCTTGAATGATGACCATGACGGAGAAGCCAATACTGTATAAACAGTGCTGAGCCGAGCTCATGGCCTAGAAAAGGTTTCTTGATAAATAGATGTGAGCTCACACCCACATGGACAGTCTAGGATGACACACGCCATGGGATATTCTCTTGCTCGATTAACTGACATCTGTTTATGATTCCTCATAGGACTTGATGCGATCTGACAGTCTCAACAGATGAGTGCAAAAGAGGGTACAAAACAGGAATGAGAGACCAGATGAAATAAAAACAAGTATTTTGCTGGACCTAAGCTCACCAAGAACAAACCTCTCCCTGACACATCTTTATCGCAGGTCACACTGTCACCCAGTATTCTCAACTTGGCAGAATACAGCTTAATACTCAGGCCAAAAATAAAAGGCCTCTGAATAGCCAAAACAGGTGACCCAGATTTAGGTCATATCGCTTAGAGGAGAACTCAGCACACTTTTACTCAGATCTATTTACTCTCATTTTGGACATATTGTCTGACAAGCTTTTGTTATCTAGTTTCCCAGCTCAGAGCAGATAAGAATAAACTCAGGGATAACTGGGATGGGGAAAGGCGGCTGTTTTAGGTAGAACAATACAACAGCAGCAAGAAAAGACAGTTGCTGGTGAGGAATGAGTGAGAAAAACCATCAAAAGAAAATGCAAGATCTCCCAGAGCTGAACTGTCTGGGACATTTAATGGAGGGACAAAGAACCCCACCAACCGCACTAGCCCCATGGGTGTGGGTGTTAATACCTGGCAGGTGTGCACTCATTATTTCCTTAAGGTACTGGAAAAGGTTAAGAGTATGTCTGGGACATGCTATTCGCAAAGAAAAAAAAGAAAATATGCAACGTATTTTCAAGAATTCTGTCAAAACTGTCCAAAACAAACAAAGCCCAGGTCTCATGGCTAGAAAAATTAACTTTCTTTGAACTAGTTCATCTCACAGCACTGCTGGACACATGAACATGACATTCCTTTTAAGCAGAAGCTGAGGCTGACTGAACACTGTTGTCTGTGAGTGGCACTCTGCTCATTCAAAGTATTATAAAAAATATGGATACTGACAGCCCTGCTTTCTGTTGTTAAATATGGACATGATTCTATAACCTATCTACATCAGTGTTCTCAACCCTAACGCCTCTCAATCACCTGGGGCTGTTCTCAAACATATTGGAACTATTGGAAGGAAAGTTCTCCTGGTGATTCTCATGAACGGCCAGCGCTCAGTATCCAACCTTAGCTTTTTCTGAATTGGAGGTGCTCTTGTTGAAAAATATTTGCACTGTGCACCAGGAGGAGAGATCTTGGAGAAGAGCATACAAAAGAAAAGAAAAGAAAAAAAAAAAAAGGCTGGAGGGACCGAGGAATCCTTCTTCTAATTTAACCAGAGCAGTTTTGCTTTTGTTTGTTTAACACAGGGGCTGAAAAATTGAAGCATGTCTGGTCCATTTCATGTTTTTGTACACAAAGTTTTATTGAAACAGCCACACCCATTTGTTTAAAGACTGTAAGACTGAACTACAATAGCAGAGTTAAGTAGTTGAAAAGGAGACCTGTAGGTCCCATGAAGCTCAAAACACTTACTATCTGGTCCTTTACAGAAAATGTGTGCTGATCCTTGGTTTCACCTACTAGAATTCTGTAGAAGATTCATACTTTGAAGTAGGAGCTCAATACGTATCAGTTGGATGAATGAAGGAGTTCGTGATTAAACACAGTCTCAAAGTCGCCACTCTTTTAGTAATGATGGATGCATCTATTAATCTTTTAGTAAAGGGTGGAATAACTAGCTGCATCTTAGCAGCATGCTTTGTCATGTATATGGAACTCTAAGGATGCTTCGTGTCTGTTACGTGACTCAAAGACCAAGTGATGAATGGTCACATTTGCTTGTCTTCATCATCAGGTTGGGTGAGGATGAGAAGATGAAATGGTTTGTCACAGGAAACTCACATTTACCTGGGTCCTGGCCAAGAACCCAACTCTCACCCAAGGGTTGAGGAAGGAGCAATGGTTTGGGATCAAGAGCCCAAGGATCAGTACTACCACTGGTCCTCAAGCATATCTTGTTCCCTCTTAGCTCTCTGCTTTCTTGTCTCCAAGGATCCCTTAAGCTCTAGGATCTAGGCCTCTCCCCCGTCGACCATACCAGGTGGATGCTCCGTTCTTCTCACCTGCACATCCAGCTCCATGATATGAGCCACTTTGTTCCAGCCAAAGCCTACAAACCTCCGGTCGTACTCCGGGCAGTCACGTCTCACAACAACATACGGCTCAAAATCGGCCTCCCACTCAACCCGGTAAGGCGTGGTGGCGGTCCGCCACTTGGCGAAGTTTGTGGGTGCGTGGCCTTTCGTCCAGACGTGGTACCTGAGACACACGGAGAAAAGCCATTGGGTGTAGGGAAGGAAGCCAAGCTCTCCAAATGCAGCCGATGTGGAGGAAGAAGGGGTGTACACTGATGTAGTCCTCGGGTGAGTTGAACTGTCTCCCTCCCAAAAGCTATGTTGAAGTCCTAACCCCCAGTACCTGTGAATGGGACCTATTTGGAATCAGGATCTTTGCAGATATAATGAGGTTATCATGAGATCACAGTGGATTGGGGTGGCACTAATCCAATATTTGTTGTCCTTATAAGAAGGGGAAAATTTAGACACAGAGACACACAGCAAGAATACCATGTATAGACATTGGGAGAGATTGGATGACGGGTGCATCTATAAATCAAAGATTGCTAAACACTGCTGGCAATCACCAGACGGAGGCCTAGGACCTCAGGGAAGAAGCATGGACCTGCTGACAGCTTGATCTTGGACTTCCGGCCTCCAGAATTGTGAGAGAATAAATTTCTATTATGTTAAGCCATCCAGTTTGTAGTATTTTGCTGCAGCAGCTGCAGGAAACCCTAATCCCATCTGCTATCTGCACATTTCACTAACGAGGAGATTCTCACTATGAAAAGGAACTCCTGGAGGGCTCCATGTCATTTCTCAGGAATTGACTGCAGGTGAGCTTGTGTAGTGATTGCTGCCAGACTGTGGTAGGAGTATCAGACGGTCCCCCATGACTCTCACCCTGTCCAATGCTCTCCCCTTGAGGCAGAACCTGTGAGTATGTATGTGATCACTCCTGGGATTATGGTACATTATATGGCAGAAGGGATTGTTCTAGATATAAATAAGGTTACTCACCACTTTACTTTGTGTGAAAATGGGAGATGATTGAATCATGTGACCCTTTAGACCTGGGTCTGGAAGAAAGCAAGGAGCTATGTTGGGAGCTGCCTATGGGGGCCATGTGGCAAATTAACTAGACTCTAGGAGAGCAGTCCCTGGCCAAAAGCCAGCAGGAAAATGGGACCTTAGGCCTAGGAACGAAAGGAGAGAAATTCTGCTAACCACCAGTGATCTGGGAAGAGGAGAAATGCAGGTCTGCTGACTCCTTGATTTCAGCCCAGTGAGATCCCAAGCAGAGAATCCAGTCATTCCATGCCTGAATCTCTGATCCCTAGAGACTGTGAGATCACAAATTTGTTTCAAGCTGCTATGTTTGTGGTAATTTGTTATACAGTAGTAGCAAATGAATACAATCATATAACCACAATAAGAAGCAGCTAATATTAGTTAACCACTTACTGTGTACTGGGACTATTTTAAATCTCTCTCTCTCACACACACACACACACACACACACACACACACACGCAGATATTGTTTTAAATTCTTATAACTTACCAAATGTCAAAGTACAAGTAGTCAGTGGTGGAGTTGTGATTCAAACCCGGGAAGCCTTGCTCAAAGGCCAGGAGCCTCCTTAAGCACTTCACCTCTCTTTTTTTATTTTTTTATTTTTTGGGATGGAGTCTCGCTCTGTCTCCAGGCTGGAGTGCAGTGGCACGATCTTGGCTCACTGCAACCTCTGCCTCCCCGGTTCAAGCGATTCTCCTGCCTCAGCCTCCCAAGTGGCTAGGACTACAGGCACGCATCACCACGCCTGGCTAATTTTTGTATTTTTAGTAGACACGGGGTTTCACCATGTTGGCCAGGATGGTCTCCATCTCTTGACCTCATGATCCGCCCGTCTTGGCCTCCCACAGTGCTGGGATTACAGGCATGAGCCACCACGGCCGGCTGGGTCACCTCTCTTATATGTCCCTGTCCCCCACACTTCCTGGCCTGTTGAACGAGTACTCAACAATTGTGCACTAAACTGAATGAATGAATGAGTAACCTAACAACATGAGAGGCACCTGAGACAGGTCCATGTGTGAGATGGCAATATGCCTCTAGAAGCTACAGAGAGACGGCAGGAAGCTGGGCATCTAGTGAAGGACTAGACAGGGCCCAAGAGAAGAGTTAGGAAGAGTATCCAGAGCTGGAAAGAAAAGCTTCATGAAATGAAAACAAGACAGAAGGGTGGGAACCCAAGAGCATAGCTGCAGGGAGAGAGGAAGTGGAAGTCTGGGTTCCATCTCATCCTGTGGGCAGTCTCTCCAAAGCAAGGGAGGCGCTAAGTGAGACTGAGTGTTCCGTGTGGCCAATGGGACACTTTCTGGCAGGGAATGCAACTGCTTCCTTCTTTTGCTTTTCTACCACTGAGGCTGGACTCCCCCCAAACCCTCAGGGAACTGGCCAGTGCAGCTGAATGGGCACTGGCCAATGGGTGGGCTTTGATCAAGTTGTGCTGTTGGGTGAGACAGCCAGGCTAGGGGAGGGCAGGAACTTGAACTTCAGCTCCATCAACACAGCAACTTCCATCAAAACCAAAGCCACTTAAATGGAAGAAAAATGAAAGGTGAAGCAATGCCATTTTCATGGAGTGTGGAAAAGGGATATTGCGGGAGATGTCAATTTCGGGCATGATCCAACAATTAGGCCCAGAAGCAGTTGCTTTTCCATTTGTGAACTTGCTGAATGGGCAGTCTTAACACCTGATGCCTTCAACAGAACTGGCACAGCACAGCTGATGGCCGTGAACTTGTATGAGGTTTTAAAGCACAATGGAGCCATCAGGCCAGGGTTCAAATCCCACCTCTGCCACTTAGGAGCTGAATGCCTTGCAGAACAAAATGCTTTAATTAGCCGTTAATTTCCTTTTGTGTCAACTGGGGAAAAGAATACCTATCTGGTTGAACTGCCAAAGAGCTTAAGTGAGAAAATATAAAGAGTCTGGCGCAGTATTGACATCTAAGAGGAATTCAATAAATGCTAGTTTTATAACAAAGTGGTTAAAAGCAATGGTTCTGGAGGCTGCCTGCCTGGGTTCCAATTCTGTCATTCAACAGGTATGGGTACATTAACTACTTGGCACCTTTGTTTCCTTCTCTTGGCAAAACGGACACAGCAATATCTACTTCATAGATTTATGATGATTATGTGACTTAATTCACATACAGTACTCAGAGTAGTTTCTGATATATGGTAACTCCTCAAAAAAAAAAAAAAAAAAAAAGAGAAAGAGAAAATTCTCTTTATTATTTCTCCTTGTTTGCTTCCCAGATATGATGTCAATTCCTGGTGGTCTTGCTCTCAGTGATATTGACAGCCATGTTATTGGTCATCCACCTTTAGAATCTAAACTCTCAGAAAATTATAATGTGAAAAGGAAGGGAAAACAATGGGGGAGACGGCGCCATTGCACTCCATTGTAGGGACAGCTGGGTCAGTTCTAGTCATCTGGCTGAGGAGGCAGCTTTGATCAGTTTAGCCTGGACACTGGCAGCTTGCAGAAAGGCTGGGCAGCACAGGGTGCAGTCAAGTTACAATGAACCTCTCGTTAAAACAAGCCCCAGCCTGTGAATGACCTATTGCCAAATGCCAGGTAGCCTCCTTCCCTGCTAAAAAAGGGATGGGAAGATGAGAGAGGTTTCCTAGGTACACCTTACAGGATGCTACTGGGGAGAAGAGATTTGGGGCACTTTGCTTTAAGCAGTGGTTCTCAAACTTGAGTATGCATTAGAATTATCTGGAAGACTGGTTCCAATTCCAGAGTTTCTGATGCAGGAGGTCTGGGCTAGGCTTGAGCCTCTGCATTTCTAACAAGTTCCTAAGTGATGCTGAAGCCACTGGTCCAGGGACCGCATTCTGGAGCCACCGCCCTAGAGGACTTGTAGGGGTGTGGATGTTTTCTCATTCCAGGTGTGGTAGGGAGCAGATTTCGGCTGCTCAGAGGCTGAAGAGTTTGTTATTTGGAGAGCAGGTGACAATAGCAATTTCTCGGAGACAAGGGCTGTAACTTAGCACTTGGCATGATGGCTGGCAAGCTGCTGGCCAGAGCAGCAATCACGGACACAGCAGGCCACACCCCAGCTCTTGTGGCCACAAATGTGGCTGTGAAATGAGTTCTCGGTTCACTGTGGTATGAAGACGGCAGGAAGGATGCCTTGGAAATGTGTCAGGTGCTCAGCCATCAGACTATGGCATTCATGGGAGACTTATATTAAGGTTTGGTTTGAAAGTCTCAATTCTGAGGAGCAAGTTTTTACTCTGCATCTTTAAACACTGGTTAAAAAAAAAAAAATTCAGGACTCAATCAGTAGCTGGATGGCATTCTGACTGAGAACACAGGTTCCTCAGACCTGGTACGAATCCAGGCTCTGCTATTTACTGGCTGTGTGTCATTGGGCAAGTTATTAAACTTCTCAGAGCCTCAGTTTCATTATCCATGCAATGGGGATGATAGTATCTGTCACATAGGTTTATTGTGAGAATTAAATATGTAATCACGGTGCCTGGCACATGCTAAGCACACAATAAGTGGTAGTTATTTCTTTCAGAAAAGAAGGAAGGCTTGGGTTGGGTGGGGGGTTACTAACTCTTCCAGGCCACTTTCCAGAATTCTGGATAGAGGAAGAAGCCTGGAGTTTGAGTCTTGGCTCTACTGGGACCTCTCCACTCCTCAGTTTCTTCATCTGTATAAAATGTGAAAAATGATAGCCTCTGAACTGTTGAACGAACAACCCACCTCATAAAGTTATTTTCACAAGATAAAGTTTATTTGAGGAAACTTGCTAGAAATTTCTAGAAACTTAATTGTGGTAGGAAAACCCAAGTTATTAAGACTATAATGTTTTCAGTAAAATTCCGATGGTCTAGAAACGTATGCTTTTTAGCTTCCAGGAAGTGTTGGCCATTCTGACATCATTCACAAGGGTGGCCTCACTTTAACACTGGAGCAGGGCCAGGCGCAGTGGCTTAGGCCTGTAATCCCAGCACTTTGGGAGGCCAAGGCAGGTGGATCACCTGAGGTCAGGAGTTCGAGACCAGCCTGACCAATATGGAGAAACCCCGTCTCTACTAAAAAATACAAAATTTGCCGGGCATGGTGGCACATGCCTGTAATCCCAGCTACTCAGGTGACTGAGGCAGGAGAATTGCTTGAACCCAGGAGGCGGAGGTCGCAGTGAGCCGAGACCACGCCATTGCACTCCAGCCTGGGCAATAAAAGCGAAGCTCTGTCTCAAAAACAAACAAACAAAACAAACAAACAAACAAACACAAGCAAACACCTGGAGCAGGCAGACGTACCAGCCCTCTCTTTAGACTGCTCAGTTACGGCACCTAGCAGGCCACCTACTTTCCCCTGGATCACTACATGTAATGCTGCAGCCTGTCCCCAGGACATGGAACCTGTTTGCTCCTGTGCGGTGGCACAGACTCCTGGGACACTGGGGACAGGTGACAGGGGAGCTCCCTTGCAATGTTCCTGCAGGACTCGGGGGCCTGGGAAAAAAGGAAAATCAGGGTTCTGTTTGCGACTGTCACTTGGGCAACAGGAAAGCTGGCTGCCACATGTGCTGGGTCACCTTGATGACTTGAAGTTGTTGACACAACGGCTACACGTCCCCCAGGCCTCAGGGGCTCAAAGAACAGACCACTCATACCACAAATAAAAAGGAAAACTGCCACAGTGGTGCTAATAGAATGAAACCCACCTACCAGACGAATGAATGGACAAGCACACAAAAGGGAGAACTCGGAGCCAGGAGATGGCAGCAGGAACCTAAACTGAGTTTAGAAAAAAGGACAAACAGAAATAAGCTAAACCTTCCTACCCTTCCACCCTCCAAACATGCCTACCCTTCCATCTGAACACATAACGTCTGTCATCCATGCACAAAAAAGTACATGGCACGTACCGGCATGGGGAGAGGAGGGAGATTACAAGGACGTTGTCTGGAGAAAGCGGTGCTTTCCTGGCCTCACAATGGACTAAGGCGAGCGACAAACTTCCAGATCGATAGCTTTGGCATCTGGGTTTCCCAGGAGAAAGAAGGCCTTCGAGCACCCCCAGAGTACAGCAGCTAGAGCCACTCACCTGAATGTGAAGAGGGTCCCCATGTCCAGCATTGACAGCAACTCCGCTTTTGACTTGGGGAAGGACAGCCGGTAGCGCAGTGTCTCGAACGCGGGGACAATCATTGCTTTCTTGGTGTTGGCAAGATCGAGCTGGATGACAGACTTCCTGAAAAGAGGGGACAGGCAGAGAGACAGAGTCCCTGTGACACCAGGCCAAGGTCTTTCCCCCATGAGGGCGGGGTGGTCATTGGCCCGGGGAAGTGTGGGAAAGAAAGCTCAGGTCATCCTCTCAATTAAAGATGGGGAAACTGGGCCAGGTGCGATGGCTCACGTCTGTAATCCCAGCCTTTGAGAGGCCGAGGCAGGAGGATCACTTGAGTTCAGGAGTTTGAGACCAGCCTGGCCAACAAGGTGAAACCCCGTTTCCACTAAAAATACAAACAAATTGGTGGGGCATGGTGGCACACACCTGTAGTCCCAGCTACTTGGGGGACTGAGGCATGACAATTGCTGGAGCCCGGGAGGCAGAGGTTGCAATGAGCTGAGATTACGCCATTGCACTCCAGCCTGGGTGACAGAGATAGATTCTGTCAAAAAAAAGGTGGGGGGAAGAAAGAGAAAGAAAGAAAGAAAGGAAGAGAAAAGAAAGGAAAGAAAAGAAAAGAAAGAAAAAGTAAAGAAAGAAAAAAGAAGGAAAAGAAAGAAAAAGTAAAGAAAGAAAAAAGAAGGAAAAGAAAGAGAAAGAAGGAAAGAAAGAAAAGGAAAAGAAAAGAAGAAAGATGGGGAGCCCTGGGAGGCAAAGCAAGTTGCTAAACACTTGGGGAACCCAGAGTGGAATGGGATCTGCTGTCCCCGAGACAGAGAACTTGGTCTTCCTGGAGAATAAACAGAGGGCAGACCAGACTGAGGGGCTGGGAGAACCTCCCACATGTTTTCAGTGTGTGCTCCTGCCAGCCAGGCACAGAAGGAAGGCTTCAAAGGATCACAGGGGTTACAGCCCAGCCTGCTTGGTTCCCTGGGCTGGTCAATCACTCCGACTGCACCCCTGGCCGCACCAGAGCAGGTGGACAGAGAGCCGATGAGAGAATCACCAAACTGGGCACTTTCAGGTTCCATTTCAGTGACTCCTCAACTCCTTGAATTCTCCAGACTCCAAGCCTTTAAAGCAGCCACAGCCACCCTAGGCAGCCAGTGCTGGTGAGACAGAGCTCTGGTATCTCCCTAAGAGAAAGTTAAAGTCTTGCCTTAGTGCCTGGCCTTCCACTCTGCTCCTCCGAGACCCGATCCTGCACGCCTGGGTTTGTCTGCCTTTTCTCAGCTCTGTGGTGGTTACTTGGAAAGGGAGAAAGGCTCATGGAGAGCCATCCACGGCCAAGCATTTAGTGCCATATGGCATGAGGCTTTTTTTTTTTGGAGATGGAGTCTTGCTCTGTTGCCCAGGCTGGAGTGCAGTGGTGCAATCTTGGCTCACGGCAACCTCAGCCTCCCGGGTTCAAGCGATTCTCCTGTCTCAGTCTCCCGAGTAGCTGGGACTACAGGCACATGCTGCCACGTCCATCTAATTTTTGTATTTTTAGTAGAGACTGGGTTTCACCGTGTTGGCAGGATGGTCTTGATCTCTTGACCTTGTGATCCGCCCGCCTTGGCCTCCCAAAGTGCTGGGATTACAGGTGTGCACCACTGCGCCCGGCCAGCATGAGGCTTTTAATAAACACAGACTGGATTTGAACCCTGGCAAGGTCACTTTATGAGACCTGCCATCCTGGGAAAGCGATTTAGCTCCTCACTACCTTTGGTCCCTCGTCCCTAAAATGATGGCAATAACATCTACCTCCTGTGGACCGAACAAGGTCGTCATATACTGCCACTTGGCACACCTGGCCGGGGCAGGCATGCTGGGACAAGTGGTCACTATTACACTGCAGTGCTATCACGACTCCCTGGCTTGGATATTCTGTGATCACTCTTGGCCAGGACCTAGGAATTCATTCTGGCTCCTGCTTGGACACTGACCTTTGGGTCTCAGGGTCATCATGGCTGTCTGTTTCCATCTCTGAGATACAGAAAGCAGCCTTTCCTGGGGAAAAGGTAGGCATTGTAAGGCATTTTGAAAAACCACTGAAAGCAGCAGCCCTCCTTGGCCATACAACTGTCCATTGAAGGCCAGGCATGGTGGCTCACGCCTGTAATCCCAGCCCTTCGGGAGGCTTAGGCAGGCGGATCACAAGGTCAGGAGTTTGAGACCAGCCTGGCCAATATGGTGAAACCCTGTCTCTACTAAAAATACAAAAATTAGCCGGGCGTGGTGGGGGGTGCTGGTAGTCCCAGCTATTCAGGAGGCTGAGGCAGGAGAATCGCTTGAACCTGGGAGGTGGAGGTTGCAGTGAGCTGAGATCACGCCACTGTGTTCCACCCTGGGCGACAGAGCGAGACCCTGTCACAAAACAAACAAACAAACAAACAAAAAAACCTTGTCCTCCATTGCTGTATTATTAAAGTCACTTCACTCAACCAGACGTTGAGCCTGTGCATTAGCAGGGACTAGAGCTGGCGTGCAAAGAGGAATCATACCATAAGGAAGTGACTAAGTTAGCCCAGGCCTGAATGGGACAAAACAGGGTGGCAGTCCCAGAAGGACACAGGACATCAGCAGGGCTTCGTATCATTGAATAATGAGGGGGAACCTGGATCAGGTCAGAATAAGGACAGTTTCCTAAAACCATCCGTGGTTAATGGATCTCACCAGCTCCCAGTAGAGAGGGGGTGGTTGGGATGGGCTGGAAGTTCATTTTGGAACCCTCTGAATATCATTTGCAGTTCACTCTTTACCATAGTGCTCATGTTAACTATATACCAAATAATATATAGCTCTCTCACCACTATTCCAGAGGAGGTTCGTAAAGGACGACAGCAAGATACAGAGTGTGGACGAGCTCTACTTAGCCAGTCTGAGGACCAGAGGTTTGAGTCAGCCTGTCCCAGCCTGGATTCTTCTCCCGCTTTGTCTGTCTGAACAATGTTAGTTTTCAAACATCCAAGATTCCCTCCTCTGTGGCCAGGCATCTAGTGTCAGCTAGCACTCTCTTTTGTATCAATCCTCTATTGGATAGGGGCAGAGCTAGGCTATTTACCTTTCCCCCTGGAGAGGTGGGTACCTTATCTATTGATTCTGGGTATTGGGGGTGGGATATATGGATCTAAAGAATATACTTGGACCAAGACAGCAAAGCCCTTGGAATCCCTGGGGCAGGGGGGAAGGTGTCCCAGTATTGGTGGGTGGTTGCTACCCATTCAGCAATCACCCAGCACCTATGATGTGCCAGGCACTTGAAGATACAGGGTGAAAAGAACAAGCAAAGTCTCTGCCCGCATGGTGCTTACATTCATATAAACGTCTCGAGATGCTAGAAGCCTAAGGACAAATCTCTCTAAACTGGGGCCCCAGATTGCATTTGTAGCTGATTATTTTAGAATACAATGCTATAGAAACAGAATAGAAGGCTGCGAGGGCAGAACTATAAAGGGAATGGGCAAGATATAAAGACACATACACATATATACACGATGGATACAGAGATCTACAAACATGGATGTTTGTATCTATATAAGGATCAAGTTACTATTATCATCAGTTGCTATAGGAGCTGCTTCTTAGAGATTAATTCCTGCTAGAAAATAATTCCCCTTTCTATGGGGGCAACCTGCCCCTATACATAGAAGCAAGCTCTCAGAGCTCTCTGCCTGCCCTACCTGCACCCCTGGCAAGGGCAGGTTGTTTAGGATTAGACACTTGACCCAGGCTGAGCACATCAGTTTCTTACTCTTGGAAATTTGAATAGAAATAGAGACTGGGAAAGCACAGAATTGACTTTCAGTGATGACAGACCATGCTCTAAAGACTTCTGAACTGCTGCAGAGGGGCCCAGAGCTGCCCTGGTTAATTGCTGTCTTATGTGTTGGTTTTCCAAGTCCTAGTTTGATTCTATAAGATAACCCATCCATTATTTGCTTTGTTTTTCTTTGATTTGTTTGTATTTTACTTAAGCTACCTGGTATTAGTTTCTGTTGCCTGCAACTAAACAACCCTAACCAATATACTGGAAGACCCAAAGCAGACAGACTCAGCAAGCAGCATGCCTCACAATTACAGTCCTAGCAAGCCTTATTTCCCTCTGCATAGATAGCACCAGATTCCAGAGTGCTTTCTGCAAACTCCCTTTCATCTCACTAAAATACAAACTGCCACAAAGATGGATCTGTCACCAGATAGATCTATTTCAGAGTCAGTTCAAGTAGGTTTCAATACCGATGTCCTGAAAGGGTCTCATTATGAAGTTGTTTCAGCAATAAACAAGGCTTCATGGTACAAACTCTGAGCTCATCTGTTTATTGAGAAGGTAACAGCAGCCTGGGTCTTTCTGTTCTGTGTTCTGTTAGTACATCTTACCCTGGATGGGGCTTGCTGTCTTAGGGGTCAACAATTTGCAGCCATTAGTTCTCTGGAAAGTGAGTCCTGCAGAGGATAGAATGCAGAGTCTTCCAGGAACAGTGGGGCAGGACGATGAGTGAGAAAGCTGGGCGAACAGCCAGGAGACTTCAGTTCTAGGCCCACCCTGAGAAGCTGAGTGACTTTGGGTTACTCTATTACTCTTTAGATTGCTAAATGTAGATTATTAAGATGGAAGCTTTGGAGGACAGTCAGGTGTAGTGGTCATTAGACAAGGCGTCTAGCTCTGACTCTACTAGGCTGTCTTCTTGGGCAAGTCACTTTCACTATTTTGAGTCCTGGGGTTGATGCACTTGAAAAATATGTTGATGAGGATAAGCACAGTGCTTGTGGAAGGGCTTGCTACAAGGCCTGGCACACATTAAGCACGGGGTACATGATGCCTATGATGGTTCCCTTTCTGTATCAGATGGCCCAGGCTATGGCGCCCAGTTACTGGGTCACATACTAGTCCAGACACTGCTGTGCAAGTGTTTCATAGACGTGTTAAACTGCAATTACTTTTGCACCAACCTAATAGCTAACATGTACAATCAGTTACCTTTAAGGAAAGGAGATTTCCCTTGATAATGTGGGTGGGCCTCATCTAATCAGTTGAAGGCCTTAAGAACAAAAACTGAGTTTCCCAGAGAAGACGGAATACTGCCTTAGGACAGTAACACAGAAATCCTGCCTCAGTTTCCAGCCTGCTGGCCTGCTCTGTCAATTTCAGACTTGCCAACCCCACAACAGTGTGAGCCAATCCCTTAAGCTCTGTCAATCTATCAGTACACATATCACTATCTAGCTCTGCATATTGATACATATATTACTATCTATAGGATATACTATATACATCTCCTATTGGCTCTGTGTCTCTGGAGACCCCTGAGGACTGTGCTGGTAAGACATGCTGCTTACTGAGTCTGTCTACTGTGGGTCTTGTAATATATTGCTTAGGGTTGTTTAGCTGCAAGCAACAGAAATTAATACCAGGTACCTTACCTAAAATAAAAAGTGTCCTAATTCCGACCTGGTCCAGATTCCTCCTCATCATTCAATGATACCAAGCTCTATTGATGTCCTTCTTGGACTGCCACTCTGTTCTTGTCCCCTACATGGGCCTGAGCTGACACAGTCTCTTCCTTATGGTCTGACTCCTCTTTGCAGACCAGCTCCAGTCCCTGCCTATGCACAGGTTCAAAGTTTTGTTGCCCTTGTCTTGTCCAAGACACTTGCAAGAACATTCACAAACCTACTATAGTATATTGGATCAAGGAATTATTATTATTATTATTATTATTATTTTAGACAGAGTCTCGCTCTGTTGCCCAGGCTGGAGTGCGGTGGTGCGATCTCGGCTCACTGCAAGCTCCGCCTCCCGGGTTCACGCCATTCTCCTGCCTCAGCCTCCCAAGTAGCTGGGACTACAGGTGCCCGCCACCACACCCAGCTAATTTTTTGTATTTTTACTAGAGACAGGTTTTCACCGTGTTAGCCAGGATGGTCTCGATCTCCTGACCTCGTGATCTGCCTGCCTCAGCCTCCCAAAGTGCTGGAATTACAGGCATGAGCCACCGCGCCCAGCTGGACCAAGGAGTTCTTAAAACAATATAAATAACTCAGAACCTTGCTGATACAATGGGAAGCCCTGTGAACATAAGTGACTTGGAGCCAGACAGCAGCAGCTTCCAAACCTGACTGCTCCTCTCTCTCCTGACTTCAGGCCCATTCTGCAACCTCTCCCAACCACAGGTTCCCCATCTTAAATGGAGATAATAAAGGCTTATCTCTCATCTCTCAGGGCTCTAGAGCCCAAAGCAGTGCCTGACTTAGAATTAACTCATTAACAAACAAGTCCCCTTCCCCTGTCACAGCTGAGCCTACTGGTGCATCCAAGGCAAGAGAATGGGCGAGAGTGAAGGAGGATTCAGAGAAGTCAACATACTACTTACAACCAGGGAAGACTTCTGCTTGCTCATCTACAGAAACAGAACTTATGAGATCTCGGTCTCTAGCCAGCCCTCTGAGTCCCTCTTTGTAACAAAAACAATTCAGGTGTTGCTCACAGAGTAAATTCACCTTTTCCAGCGTGGCAGAGCTAACCAGTGGGGAAACTGTGAATTTGATAAAGGTTATCCTCCAAAGCCCCCCACAGCCTCCTCTTCTGTATATCTTTTTTCCCCGAGCCCCTCCTCTCAGCTCACTCAGGTATATGGGTAGTTCGTATCCTCTTTTGCTCCAATCTGGCAAAACTGGCGAGCAGGGGAGGGGATGTGAGTGTGAGTGAGCAGTGAGGCTTCCTATGCCAAATGAAGGGGTAGGGGTGGGTGCAGATGGTAGGCTTGCCCGGGTTCTGCATAAACCAAAGAAACAGCATGGATGGAAGGGCAGAGTATTAGCTGGATGGGTTTCCCTGGTGCTACGGTGGCATGGAATTACCAATCCTCAACCTGACCCTGGCTGTTGATCTCTTTCACATACATACACACCTCCCTCCCTCCATCTCATTCTCTCTTTTTAACTCCATCCTTTCCTCTAGAGGCAGGTCCCTGTAACCAGGGAAACAGCCCAGGTTCCTGGCATGAAGAGATTACGGGAAAGTGTCTCGGAAGACATAAGGAAACGCCGTGCACTGCCTAGTTCTGACAACTTCACCTCCTCGGAGTCACAGTGGTTCACATTCTAGAGGCAGGCTGCTCGGGTCTGCATCCTGGCTAACTACTTAATTAATCTCTTGGTTCTGCAATTTCCGTATCTGTAACATGGAATATCTATAAAATGGGAGTCAGGTAGAACGAGAAGAGGAGCCAGCAATGGGAACTCCTGGGAGGGACCAAGAAGATTGAAGAACCACAAAGAGACTGCGATGAGCACCTAAAAGCCAGGAGAAAATAAAACGTGTGCCATGGAGGAGTCACCGGCAGTTGGAGGTGGCTGAGAAGTCAAATGAGATGAGAGCTGGGGGCTGGCAGCTGGGTTTGGCAACATGGAGGTCGCTGGTGGCATCTTCCCTGACTGCTAGCATCTAGGGCACCAGTCAAGTAGGTGGGTGTGAGGGCCATGGCCATTTAGAAGTTCCCTTCCCAGCTAGGCGCGGTGGCTCACGCCTGTAATCCCAGCACTTTGGGAGGCTGAGGCGGGTGGATCACCTGAGGTCAGGAGTTCGAGACCAGCCTGACCAACATGGTGAAACCCTGTCTCTACTAAAAATACAAAAATTAGCTGGGTGTGGTGGTGCGTGTCTATAATCCCAGCTACTGAGGAGGCTGAGGCAGGAGAATCGTTTGAACCTGGGAGGCAGAGGGTGCAGTGAGCTGAGATTGCACCACTGCACTCCAGCCTGGGCAACAGAGCGAGACTCCATCTCAAAAAAAAAAAAAGAAGTTCCCTTCCTCACCTCTGGTTCTGCAAAAATAAGTCAACACAGTGCAAGGCTGGATTGCTAATCAGGAAAAGGATCCATGTCACAACGCTGGCCAATTTAGTTTCATCTTAAGTGTCTAGAAAAATTAACCTATGTTGGTCCACAGGAGAGGATATAAGGAAAACTCTACGACCAACACCTAACTCCTTCACAGTGAGTGAAGACCCGGGAGAAGAGACCCTTGTGGTCCAATCAGACCCATCCTGGAGTCCCACAATGGTCACGATTTGCCTGAAAATGGGATTCCAGTTACTTGCCAGTTTCCACCAAAGGAAGAACTCCCTAAATCCTGTCTGTCTACCCTTATGCATTCTCCTCTATTCAGCATTCCCTGAAATAACTTCCTCCTCTCTCACTGGTGCGTGCTTAGGTATTGTGCTATGGTGTCCCCCAACATTCATGTGTTGGAAGCTTAATTCCCAATGCAGCAGCAGAGGTGGGGCCTTATGGGAGGTGTTTAGGTCATGAGGGCCCCACCCTCATGAATACATTAATGCATAATGTATTCATTACATTAATACATTTAATACATAATGTATTACATCAATACATACATAATGTATTACATCAATACATTTAATACATAATGATTAAAAAAAAAAAAGCTTGACAAGAGAGAGTTTGGTCCCATTTTTTTTGCCTTTCCACCTTCTTCCACGTGAGAACATGGCGTTCCTCCCCTCTGCAGGATGCAGTGTTCAAAGAACCATCTTGGGGCCGGGCGTGGTGGCTCACACCTATAATCCCAGCACTTTGGGAGGCCGAGGTTGGGGGATAACCTAAGGTCAGGGGTTAGACACCAGCTTGGCCAACATAGTGAAACCCCGTCTCTATTAAAAATACAAAAAATTAGCCAGGCATGGTGGCACACACCTATAATCTCAGCTACGCAGGAGGCTGATGCAGGAGAATCGCTTGAACCAGGGAGGCGGAGGTTGCAATGAGCCGAGATCGTGCCACTGTACTCCAGTCTGGGTGACAGAGTGAGACTCTGTCTCAAAACAAAAACAAACACAAACAAACAAAACCCACAAAGAACCATCTTGGCAGCAGAGAGCAGCCCTCCCAGACAACGAATCTGCCACCAAGTTTGTTCTGACTTCCAAGCCTCTAGAACCATGGGGAATACATTTCTAAAAAATTACCCAGTCTCCAGTATTCTGTTATAGCACCACAAAACGAACTAGGACATATTACAAACCCAATTTGATGCCATCTTCAAGAAAACAAAATTAGAAAAATAATCCATCACTGAGGTTAAGAAAAGGAGAGAGCACAGTCAAATTTAAACAGGGACAAAGGATTCTGGAAGTATCTCTTTTTTGTGTCTTTCTATACTGGGGGGTTTGGGGGGCAACCTCAAGCAGCTGCAGGGCCAGGCCAGTGATGTGGATAATGGTGCAGGCTGATGGGGAGAGAGCACGATGTTCAATGGCAAAGGATGCCAGGCTTACATGTCGAGGAGACAAAAGGGAGAGGGGAGAGCAGGGGATGGGATAAACAGGAGAGTCCACGCCTAGCTGCTCCTCAATTCCAGCTGTGTGCCTGACATATGGGATTGGAGCCACAGAGTCTGATATTTCAAGAGGAGCCAACTGAAATTATCTTCAGCACACCTGATGGCTGGGTACCTCTCGTGGCATGCCAGTTTGAAGGGAGGCTGAACAGTGAGAAAAAAAGAGCATGATCTTTTTAATCGGATGATGTAGATTCCATCTTAATTCCACTACTTCCCTAACTGTGCAATCATGGGCCATTTTCTTAACACCCCGGGCTTTTGTTTCCTTATCTTGATAATAATAAATGCTTTATGGACTTGGTGATTAAGAGAACTAAGATAATATATTCATCAATTAATGAATATTAATGAAGCCAACACCTAAACCTTGGGCACAGAGCTAAATGAACACATATAACTTTGTCCATGCATAGCTCACAGTGTAGGGAGGGAGGAAGACAGAAGCATACTCCTCTCTGTGTGCAGAGTCATGGAAGACTTCTCATCACTGAGATGTGTTCCAATCAAGAAGCAGGAGTTAGCCAGTCAGGAAAGGGTGTTCCAGGTTATTTGCAAAGCTCTGATAACGAGAAAGCATATAGGATTGGAGAAACTGAATTTCTCAGCACCTGCCTGGTATACTGTAGGTGGTTGATAAATTATAATAAATGCTTACATGCATTGAGTTTCAAGCCCCATGCTAAGTGCTTTATATGCATTACTTCTCTTAATTATTGCAACCTATGACTTACATACTCATATTTTCAGTTTAATGATAAAGATATTAAAGTTCTGAGAGGTTAACAAGTAACTACCACACAGCTAGTAGTTATCATCATCATCATATAATGATATTAATGAAGTCTGCACCAGCTTAAAATTAAGCAGGAAAGATCAATAACCACAAGATGTATTGGGACCAAGTCTGTTAATGCAGTGATTGTGTCTGTCTTCCCAACCTTGCAACTGGAAAAATGAACTTCTTTGAGTTCATGGGTCAAGGCAGTAGTGGGAGAGTGGTTAGGAATGGCAAAAAGGGAGAAGGCAGGAGGCTACGATCTGTGTACCTATGCTCCTTAAATGCAATCTCATCCACATGGCAGATTCCACCTTGAATGAGCAAAGTGGAGCGGAGGTCAGAAAACAAAGAGTATTATGAGATTGGGAACATGTGTACTGATCCTACATGTCACTGGCTTATACTGAGCCTCCTATACTGGCTATTTCCTTTCATTACCACCCATGAGTCTCTCAAACTATTATAATCTGTCTTTGACTCTGTGGATCTGGCCAAAGTCAGCAATGTCCCCTCACTGTCAAGTCTAACAGATTTATCCATTCTCACCTTGTTTGAATTATCTCTGCATTTAGCACTAATGACCACTCCTACTAGCCTTATTTCAAGAAGCCCATCCCATAATTCTGAAGGCATCTTTCTACTCTCTCTTTTCTCACCAGGATGACTGACTTTCAGCCCACTGGATGCTGGTAACCATTTGGGACCTCTTGTGGCCCCTACTCCTCGGGCAGGGGTTGGGGAATTCCCCATCTCTGCCACTCAGGTTTCCACGCCTGTAACAGAAATGCCCGTGCTGACTTCTTTGCGGTGTTGCAATAAATGGCTGAGGCCAATGCTGACAAGTGACAAACTATTGGGAATCGCAGGGCTGAAGGCACTGGGGCTGCTGTCAGAATGCTGGGAGAGAACCAGACTTGTCAGCTCTCGGAGCCCTGGGTTTCCACAGCCCTGTTCTGCAGCATCAAATGTCAGAGAGCCCACTGTTTAATCAAACCTGAGTCGTAAGAAATCCATGTGGTTCTCATACAAGTTCCCAGGGACTCCTATGAAAGTTATATTAAAAGGGGACAGGAGGAGATAAAGAAACCTGTGCTGGAGTGTGCATCTGTTTCAGAAACCCTGGAACAGCACTGATTTCTCTCAAGATTTAGTGCATAGCCAGTTAGAAAAACCGGCCTCCCCGTACCTCCCTTCCCCACCTCCATGGGCCTTGATGTGTCTCCTTTCATGCTCCCCTTCATGTTGGGTCTGCATCTTCTTTGGGACTGGTTCATCCTAGACTGTTTCGCTCACTGGTGGTGGCTGCCTGTGCATGTACCTCTCAGCCCTGCTGGGCTTGAGGTCTGGGGTGAGCCTCTGTTCATGGTTACGTTTCCAGGTCCTGCACAGTGCCAGGCAAACGGTAGGCACTCAGTAAGTGTATAGGGAATGGAGGAATCTATTTGTAACTGCCCTATGCGGTAGAGAGGATGGGACTGTGAAGAGGCCTCTTTGGAAATGACAAAGACCTGAGTTGACACGATAGCTCTGCCACTTAAATACATATGACCTTTGGGCAAACTTAACTTCTGTGTTTTAATCTCACTTGTATAATGGGAATAAAAGCACTTATCTTTGACTAGGTTGTCCTAAAAAAGATAACATTTGCCCAGGGCCTAGCACAGCACCTGCCACGAGACAGGGCACTTATAAACAGTGTTTTTTCCTTCCTGGGTCCTTTACAGACGGTCATGCACTCATATTCTCGTGGATGCTCGTAAGAAGTGGATCAGCCAGTGGGGGTTAAAGAGAAAGCAGAGGCCTGGGTCTGAGATGCACCATCATTTTCTTATTTTAGCTTATTCCTGGCAAGGTGTGTGGGCATGAACCAGTGAGCTAGTGATGTGTGATGAGAAGCAGCAGGGCCAGTGCAGACACAGGTGTGATCAACCAGTGAGAGGCAAAGAAGGGCACACATGTGTGTGTACATGCGTGTGGGTGCCTATGTGACTTTGGGAGACTACGAGAAGCCCTCTTGTCTCCAGCTGTCCCTCATAGCTGTTTAAACTGACTAGCTTCAATAGTGCTAGACGTAAGCATGGCTTTTGACCAAGGCAATGGGAAATCATGTGAATGACACCTGAGGATTTAGCAATCTACCTTAGGGTGACAATACGTGGGCAGAGAGGAAGGAAGGAGCCACCTGTGCTGCTCACTCTGGAGGCCACCTCAGCACAGCCCTGTCCTCCTCTTGTCTCATCCCTAAACATAAAGGCCAGGGAATAGGGTTTGCTCGATTCTACTCCAGTTGTCTAGGAAATGAGCTCTTGGCTGACTGGCTTCCAGGAGCTTTGTGGGGACAACAGCAAGGACTTGCAAATGAGGGAGACAGGGCAGCCCACAGAGTGCCACTGTAGAATACACACATAATACATGAGGTCAGACATGGGCATGTCATCTGAGAGCCAGATGGGCTCACAGGCATGAGCAAGATCCGGTGATTCCTTAATGGGTGGCATTAACATTTCCAGAGGAAGAACCTGTCAGTCAGAGAGGGGCAGGTGAGAAAGAGAAGCTAAGAAGGAGCTTTTGGGGTAAATTTTACAAATAAAAAGTAGTAATGATTGCCATAGTTTACTGAGCACTTGACCATGTGCGAGGCTCTGTGCTAGAGACTCTGTCTCCACCATCTCAGGTAATGCTCAACATTCCTGTTTAATTACCCCACTGTCCTGATGTTTACTGTTAGTAATAATAGCTAAACGTTGTAGAGCACTTGCCACGTACTGGCATAGAGTTAAACGCTGGCTGGGGATCACGGGGGCCTGGCACTAAGGAGGGCAGCTGTGCGGCAGACTGCCTGGATTCAGATCCCACTTGCATGGACACTCACCAGCTCATACTCTTGAACACGTTACAACTTTGTGCCACAGTTTTCTTCTCTGTGAGCTGGGGACTGTATTAGCAGCTGTGCTGTGTGACTTTGTAAGAACTACATGGATTATCTGGTGCAAAGATTAAAATAGTTCCCTGGTGTATAGGATACATTTGGCAAATACAAGCCATGATGATGGTCATGGCCATCACGATGAAGATAAAATGGGCCTATCGGGCAACTGGATCAATAAACAGGCTAAGCATAGAACACCTATGGATAAGCCTAAGATGAGCCAGTTATCCTTTTTCTTTTTTCTTTTCTTTTTTTTTTTTTTTTGAGATGGAGTTTCTCTCTTGTTGCCCAGGCTGGAGTGCAATGGCGCGATCTCATCTCACCGCAATGTCTGCCTCCGAGGTTCAAGCGATTTTCCTGCCTCAGCCTCCTGAGTAGCTGGGATTACAGGCATGCACCACCACGTCCAACTAATTTTTGTATTTTTAGTTGAGACGGGGTTTCTCCATGTTGGTCAGGCTGGTCTTGAACTCCCAACCTCAGGTGATCTGCCCACCTCGGCCTCCCAAAGTGCTGGGACTACAGGTATAAGCCACTGCGCCCAGCCCGCCAGTTATCCTTTTAGTACTGCTGTGCCCTTGGGCATGTTACTTAGCCTGAACGTCCTCATTTGTAAGATGAATTGTGGTGAGCCTTAATGGTAAAATACAGGTGAAAGGGCTCATAACAGTGCTTGGCGCATAGTAAGTGCTCAGTAAATGTTGAATGTTATAGATACAGCAGAGTTAAGACAATGAATGGGCCCAAGGAAATGTTACCTGGTAATGTCTCTGGGCAGGCAGCCAGTCAGCTTCACCTGGTGCCACCTCTACCTGGCTTTGTTCACATGTCTGCACTCATTCAACAAGTATTTATAGAACAGCCATGATGTGCCAGGGAAAATGTAAGGGGGTAGGTGGTTAGATGTCAAGCTGGGGAGAAAAGAGTCGAACAGAAATCTGGCATTCCTACACAGTGTCAGAATACAGTCTCTACCCAGTGTGGCCTATTTGTCCTCAAGAAGGGGGCTGGGCGCAGTGGTTCACACCTGTAATCCCAGCACTTTGAGAGGCAGAGATGGGCAGATCACCTGAGGTCAGGAGTCTGAGACCAGCCTGGCCAACACGGCAAAACTCCGTCTCTACTGAAAAATACAAAAAAAATTAGCCAGGTGTGGTGGCATGTGCCTATAATCCCAGCTACTTGGGAGGCTGAGGCAGGACAATTGCTTGAACCTGAGGGGCAGAGGTTGCAGTGAGCCAAGATCGTGCCACTGCACTCCAGCCTGGGCGGCATAAGACTCCGTCTCAAAAAAAAAAAAAAAAAAGAAGGGTTTGTCCCCAAGAAGGCAAAAGGCAGTGAGGACAGTAGAGATACTTTACACTTTGGGCATGGATTAAAGATGAGGATTCCTCACGCCTATAATCCCAGCACTTTGGGAGGCCGAGGTGGGCGGATCACCTGAGGTCAGGAGTTCAAGACCAGCCTGGCCAACATGGTGAAACCCTGTCTCTACTAAAAATACAAAAATTAGCGAGGCGTGGTGGCAGGCGCCTGTAATCCTAGCTACTCAGGAGGCTGAGGCAGGAGAATCGCTTGAACCCGGGAGGCAGAGGTTGCAGTGAGCTGAGATCACGCCATTGCACTCCAGCCTGGGGACAAGGGCGAGACATCATCTCAAAAAAAAAAAAAAAAAAAAAAAGATGATGATTCTGCAGGGTCAGTGAAAGGTGTCAGAAACCTGTACCAGTCTCATGAATGTGGAAAGTCTCAGCAGAGTGAAGCTGTCCAGGTCTTGGAAATGCCACGATGTCTCACGTCTTCCTCTCTCCTCATTTAGAGACCTTCAGTGTGCACCCACATTGGGTCATTCCCTTATTAGTTTGAGCTCCTGTATCTCTCAGCCTCGTATCTGTGTGAATCCCGATGCTAGCAATGGCACATACAGCTGCAATGACCACCAGGCTGTAAACCTGAGGGCCAGAACTTTGTCTCCCCTGTTCACTGTTCTAGCCCCAGCACCTGAAACAGTGCCTGGCCACGCAGAGGCATGGAACAAAGAATGTTTCGGGCATTCCTGGGTGCTCTGCAAATACTGTTAGCTCTTATCTTCTCAGTTCCTTAAGAACTGGGGAAGAGGAAAAAGCAGTATGATTCCCACTTCACAGATAAAACAAGTTAGAGAAGTTAAGTGCCTTTCCCAAGGTCAAATAAATTCTAAATAAAGAGTACTCAGCATCAGTCAGCCATGGTGGCTCACGCCTGTAATCCTAGGGTTGTGGGAGGCTGAGGCAGGAGCACTGCTTGAGCCCAGGAGTTTGAGACTAGCCTGGACAATAGGGTCTGGGTTATGTTTATTTTTCTAAAAGGAAATTAAAAAATTAGCTGGGCAAGGTGGTGTACAACTGTAGTCCCAGCTACTTGGGAGGCTGAGGCAGGAAGATTGCTTGAGCCCAGGAGTTTGAGGCTGCAGTAAGCTATGATTGCACCACTGCACTCCAGCCTGGGTGACAGAGCAAGACCCTGTGTCTAAAGAGAAGTAAAGGAAAGAAAGAAGAAAGAAAAGAAAAAAGAAAAGAAAAAGGAAAGATGGAAAGAAAGAAAAAAGGAAAGAGAGAGAGAGAGACGCGGGAAGCAGTGGCTCTTGCCTGTAATCCCAGCACTTTGGGAGGCCTGGGTGGGCGGATCACTTGAGACTAGGAGTTCAAGACCAGCCTGGGCAACATAGCGAAACCCTGTCTTTACAAATGGTAAAAAAAAAATTGGCCCAGCATGGTGGCGCATGCCTATAATCCCAGCTACTGGGGAGACTAAAGTGGGAGCATCGCTTGAGCCTGGGGAGGTTGAGGTTGCGGTGAGCCATGATTGCACCATTCCACTCCAGCCTGAGCAACAGAGTGAGAGAGAGAGAGGAAGCAGTATGGAAAGAAATGAATTAAAGAGAGAAAATGAGAAAAGAGAGAAAAAGAAAGAAAGAGAGAGAGAAAGAAAGGAAGGGAAGGAAAGGAGTGGAGGGGAGGGGAAAAGAGGGAAGGGAAAGGGGAGGGAGAGTCCTCTGCACTGAAACGCAGGTCTGAATGACCCCCAGGGACAGCAACATCACCTACAATGTAGCATACTGCCTGACACATAGTACATGCTCACTACACAGTTTTTGAAAGAATGAGTAGTATCAATATATAGTTTCTCATTTTCAGAAAGCAAAAAAATTGAGATGGTCACATGAAGCTACCCAGGCTGCACAGAAGGTGGCAGAGTTTGCAATGGCGGGGGTTGGGTTGGGGCAGGGGCCTAGCACAGAAGTCCAATACTGAATAGGCCAAGGGGCAGAAAATGAACTCCTGCTGGGCACCCGCCATAGCCCCACAGGAGGCTATCATTAGCTCCTATATTAACTGAGGAAGTGAAAGAATGAGGAGATGAAGCAAGCAGCCCCAACTCACACACTTGATTAGTGTTGTGGAACCTGGCTTCAAAGGCAAGTCTGCGCAACCTCTGCCATGCCCCGCTGACTTTCGCCTGACATTTCTGAGATCAAAAGTGAAAGCTGTACATCCAGGAGCTCATTCTTCAGAAAAAGTAGATGAAGGGGCTGGAAGGAGATTTTAGTAAAACTCTGCAGCTATTGTCCATGCGTACAGCTTATTCCATTATTTTCCAATTGATCTGTTTGTTTTGGCTGTAATATTAGCTGGTTGCTAAGCAACTGCTCAAAGAGCTAACATGCTGAACTTTTTTTGGTAACCAAATAGAACCCCAAAAAAGGTGATATAAATCAGTGTTTGGGGGTACAAGCCGAGGGCTGCCAGTCGGCCTGCTCTGGTACCCTGGGGGTTTGGGAGTAACCTGGCCCCTTCGACAGAGTGAGCAGGCTGGCATGGAGGAAGGCTGCTTTCCTCCTCCTCTAATGCTAACATTTAACTTCTCTGGGGCCTCAGTTTGGTCACCTGTAATGGTAGTTACCTTAAAGAGCAGTGTGAAGAACAGAGGTAATGACAGACTGAGTGCAGCTGGCAGGGTTTCTGGCACATGGTAAGGGCTCAGTAACTTGTAACTGTCATCATTCTTAAGTAATTAACAAATGTGTTTTTTTGAGATAGGGTGTTGCCCTGCTGTTCAGGATGGAGTGCAGTGGCACAATCATGGCTCACTCTAGCTTCAGCTGCCTGGGCTCAGGAGATCATCCTGTCTCAACCTCCCAAGTCGCTGAAACAACAGGCATGTTCCACAATGCTCAGCAATTTTTTTTCTTTTTTTTGGAGATGGAGTCTCACTCTGTTGCCAGGCTGGAGTGCAGTGGTGCGATGTCAGCTCACTGCAACCTCTGCCTTCCGGGGTTCAAGCGATTCCCCTGCCTCAGCCTCCCTAGTAGCTGGGACTACAGGCATGCACCACCATGCCCAGCTAATTTATGGTATTTCAGTAGAGATGGGGTTTCACCATGTTGGCCAGGATGGTCTCGATCTTCTGACCTCGTGATTCACCGGCCTCGGCCTCCCAAAGTGCTGGGATTACACGCGTGAGCCACCGCGCCTGGCCAATTTTTGAAATTTTTTGTAGAGATGGGGTCTCACTATATTGCTCAGGCTGGTCTCGAATTCCTGGGTTCAAGCAATTCTCCCACCTCAGCCTCCTAAAATGCTGGGTGACAGGTGTTAGCCACTGCACCTGGCCAATATTAATATCTTGACAGAGCTTGGGTACAGAATTTTATGGGAGATCAGTGCTGAGAAAGTCAGTTTCTAGAAGGGTCTGGGGGCTTCATTGGAGTCCTCAGCTGCCACAGCAAACAGCACCCTTAACCTCAACTCCCACCAGTGATGCTATGGTGTGCACAAGGGGCATCCACTGGTAACGTCTGGGTCAGAAATGAATCCATCTACTCACCAGAAAAAATGTCCCTGAAGCCAAGGGTAAGTTGATATGATTATGTCATATGAAAAGAACAGTGTCTGCTTATTTGGGGCTTCCGAGAGAATGACATTCCTCATTGATTCTCATAAATACTTTGGTGCCTAGGAATTGTCTAGGTCAGAGGTTACACTCTGGTAGTTTGGGGTGGGGGTGTGAGGAGTCAAGGCAGCCTGAAGGCATATTTTGTCGGCCTCAACAGCATTTGAAATGATTTTTTTGCTCCAAATCATCATCTAAAAACAATTTTTAAAAATTAGTTGCCAACATTAAAAAAACATTTTATATGAAAATCCAGATTCCCAACTCCTCTTGAAAAATATGAATACCTAGTAACCTTCCCTGCGTCCATAAAGCAATAATGGCACGATTGTGTGGAGAGACGACTGGCTCCCTGAGACCAGGGCTCTGGTCTCTCTATTGAATTGTACTCAGCATTCTTGGGAAAAGTCTGGGAAGAAAGTAATAAAGTTTTAAAAGCAATTTGCAATATTTCAAAACCCCTGAGGGGAACCACATACCTTCCTGTGATAAGGTAGCTAAGGCCAACTACCACCTCAAGTGACTCTGCATTAAGCAAGTGCTAAGTAGAAGGGCACACTAGCTACCTCACTTCAAGTAGGGTCTGGATTAGCAGTGAACGATGCCTTTAATTAATAAAACATAGAAAGACAAAGAAAAAAAAACTGTTCATACGTATTGCTTTTTAAAACATGATGCCCATGAGGTCAAATAATTAAATAGTCCTTGCACAGGGAGTAGAGACCACAGACTCATACGGGGCCAGCTCACTTTCAATTGGCTGGAGCGAAGAAGAGTCCCAGAGGGGTGGAGGGTGGGCAGGGGTCCAATCCTGAAGCCTCTTTTCTTAGTCTAGGGTGGCACTCACTCCCATCATCTATCTGTTCCCTTGGGAGCCTGTCATCCCGGAAGCTGCCCAAGTTTCAGAATCTGCAGGCATCAGAGGCTGCAAGCCCCGTCTGGCCACATGGGGGCACCCTGGCTCCACACACTGGATTCTAAGACCCAGCAGGCACTGGCACAGGCGCTGGGGCTGGAGGGAGTGCTCCATTTCTGCAGCCTGGTGGGTCAGGGGTTGAGGCTCATGGTGCTGGGTACCACAGCACCTCCCATTCCCGATTCAGGGTCATGCTGCCTAGGGGTCGCTGACCCTACTGTTTTTAACAGAGTCTGGTAGGGACTCCTCCCGCCCCAGGGGAGGGATTAACACTAGGAAACCCGGAGATGTCCCTGGAAGGACACGGACTCAGAAGCTGGAGAGAGAACACAGGCTGCCTGACCTTGCTCCAGACAGCGCAGGGCACGGAGGGTATGCAGGCTAAACCTACGCTTTGGCTTCCCGACAGAAAGTTTAAAGACTCCTAGAAGCTCTTTTCAGAGAGAAAGAGACAGAGGCAGTAAGAGAAAGATACTAAGAGACAGAGAGACGGAGTCAGAAGGAGGGAGGGAGAGCAAGAGAACGAGAGAGAAAGAAATCAGACCTTGCCTGGTTTGCGACAAACAGAAACCCCAGCGCAGCCCAACAACGTGTAGCAGGGTGACGGGCAGACCTGGGGCTGCAGACGCTGGTTCACACCCTGGCGTGAGCTCTCTGGACTTGGACTGTTATTTTGCTTCTCTGGGCCCCACTCTTCCTTCCTGTAGAATGCAGGTAGCTATACCTGCCTCTGGGGTTCGATGTGTAGAACCAATGGGATGATATATGCAAATCACCTCTCATGGTACCTGGATCTAGGCAGGCACTCACTAGGTATTGGCATAATTCATGCTGACCAATGGCAGTAAATAAAGGATTTTTTTAAAATGTCATTGGACCATGATACTGTGTGACTTTAGTTTTCTCATGTGTGAAATGGGACCTTTGGGCCATATGACTTCCATGGCTCCTATCAATCCGAATTGTGTACTATTCTGTAATAAATGCACTCTTCACACAGCCATCTAAGCCTTCCATTAGCCGAGTGCTTTCTCCAGCTGCTGACACCCCGTCCCATGATGTGGGGGGAGCTGGAAAGGGACACTGGAGATTCACAGAAGCAGTTGTCATGGTGCTTATGCACTTGGCTCTGCAGCCAGACTGGCTGTTTCCACCCCAGTTTCCCTTTCCTAGATGAGTAACCCCGGGCCAACGGCTCCTGGTCTCGGTCCCACAGTTCCCCATTTAGAAAAGGAAGGTGATAATACTACCCACGGCAGGGACTTTGGGGGAGGAAATGAGATCCTACCTCTCAAGCACTCAGAACAGTGCCTGGCGCGCAGCAAACACTTCCATAAGCACTAGGCATCATCATCACTTAGATTTGTTTAAAAGACTGGGCAATAATCTTTCTTGGGTTATATGAAGGTTGTCTGGTCCAAAACCAGAAGAAGGAGGGTATGTTTTCTTCTATTTATTATTATTATTTTTTGAGAAGGAGTCTTGCTCTGTCACCAGGCTGGAGTGCAGTGGAGCAATCTCGGCTCACTGCAACCTCCGACTCCCTGGTTCAAGAGATTCTCCTGCCTCAGCTTCCCAAGTAGCTGGGATTACGGGCACATGCCACCAAGCCCAGCTAATTTTTTTGGTATTTTTAGTAGGGGGGGGGTTTCACCATGTTGGCCAGGATGGTCTCGAACTCCTGACCTCGTGATCCACCTGCCTCAGCCTCCCAAAGTGCTAGGATTACAGGCGAGAGCCATCGCGTGCCTGCCTGAGGAGGGTATGTTTTCATAGATGCTACAGAAAAAGCAATAGACTGGCAGACAAAAAGAGATGTTCGCTGGACCAAGCTCTGCCATCAACATTTCCTTCTGCAAACTCAGGTTTCAGTCTGTTCACTGAGAACTCTATTGCTGGGTGGCTGTGGGCAGGTCCCTTCCCCTTTCTGGGTCTCTGCTGCCCCATCTGGAAAAGAAACCTGTTGGACTAGATGATGACCCTAAGGGCCTTTTGGTCCTGGCACTGCATGGCCCTATGTGCCTTCTGGCCTGATGGCCAGGCCCCTGCAGGTCCTTACCTGAGGTACTCATAGAGCCCATACATGGGCAGGAAGTCAATGTCAGACAGGAACATGTAGGGAGTGCTGATGTGCTTCATGGCCACGTTGCGCAGCAGGTTCACGGGGTAGAACTGGCCCTCCTTGTACACGATGTGGTAGCCCACGTTGTGGCGGCTCATAAGCACCTCAGAGCCCTGTGCGTAGCGGAGGAACTGCTGGGCCTCGGCGTCTGACAGGTAGAGGGCCAGGCTGATGGGCCCCTCCCAGTGCTTGCAGATGGCCTCCAGCATCTGGAGCCTGGAAGAGACAGGGAGGGTGAGCCGCGGGACCTGGGCCATCCATGCATCATCCGCCGGGCCTGTTGTGGGGCTCTGCCTCCAGTGACACTTGATCAACCAGCTGTGGATCAAATCCCTGCTTTCAACGTTGACTCACTCAGTTCCTTTACCTATAAAACAGGCATCAAAACACTTACCTTGCTGGTTCTCATCTTTCCCTGCTTCCAACTGAACATGTGATATGAAGTTGTATCCCACTATAAGCCTTGGACTCCTCGTTTCAAAGCCAGGTGGTGAGTATATTAAATGATTTGAAGATCCCCTTCCAGCCCCAAAGTCCTACACTTCTCTCTCCACAAAGGTATAAAAAAGCTCTGCTGATCTCCTAAGGCAGTGACCAGCCAGAGAGGACTTACACAAACTTAGAGGCTGCTAAGTTACAAGGAACGGTAAAATAAACAGTAAACACAAGAGCTACAACAACTATAATTACAGATGTGCTGCAGTGTGCCAGGAGCTTCCCAGAATTCTCTCAATAACCTTGAGCACTAGCTGTCATTCTCCCCATTTTCCTGATGGAGGAACGGACGTGCCGTATGTTCAATCAGCTTGGCCTCTTACACTTAGAGGCCAGACATGTGTAGACAGGTACCCTGATGGGACCTTGGAGTCAGGGAGAAAAAAATAACACTAAAAAAGGGAATAGAAAAATATGTGAATGTTGGAAACAAAAGTCTACCTGGGGTGATGCTGTCTGCATCACTCGTCTTCAGAGCCCCTACTACCCCAGGGCGCCAGGCAACTGTGCAAGGCTACCTCAGAGATGCTGAGCCAGGGAGAGGGGGAAAAATAGAGCCCAGGGAAAAAATTAAAAAAAAAAAAAAAAAAGGTGTGTGTGGAGGGTTTGCAACAGAGAGGGTTCTGCAAAGACGTCTGAAGATAAATCTATAAAGATATTTTCTTTCAAAGGCGTTAGAAGCGTCTGGTACATAAAATCTATGGCTAAGAAACAGCAAAAGCCTACTTGAATTGTTTTTCCTTACCCAGCAAGAGGTACGTAATCAGCAGTCTCCTGGTCAGAATGCCCACTTTATTCGGACGATTACCAGGAAATCGATTCCATGCATTTCCATGCTTCTAAACAAAAGGAAATGGGCACACCTATCTTGTTTCAATGGCCTTTTTGATGACTTCCAGAGTTTTCTCTCAGTAATTCTGTTAAGTGGCACTGCCCAGATTTGCTTCCTCGTTCAATAGGGAGGATTAAGATATTCACCAGTGCAAAATGCTCTCCATTTCTCATCCATTATAATGCTTGCTAACCAAATTGACCAGAAACATTTCTTTTTCTTTTTCTTTTTTTTTTTTTTGAGGCGGAGTCTTGCTCTGTTGCCCAGGATGGTGCAGTGGCGTGATCTCAGCTCACTGCAAGCTCCGCCTCCCGGGTTCACGCCATTCTCCTGCCTCAGCCTCCCGAGTAGCTGGGATTACAGCCGCCCGCTACCACGCCCGGCTAATTTTCTTCTTTGTATTTTTTAGTACAGACGGGGTTTCACCATCTTAGCCAGCATGGTCTCGATCTCCTGACCTCGTGATCCGCCCACCTCGGCCTCCCAAAGTGCTGGGCTTACAGGCGTGAGCCACCGCGCCTGGCCGACCAGAGCCATTTCTTAAAAAGGCATGCATTCTCCATGACGCCTAATTGCACTGAACTTTGTACTAGACTTCTGCTGTGGGGGCCTGCCCTCTCCTGGGCTCTGATCTGGAATTTTGAATTATGCCTCCTGCACCTGTTTTACCTTCTGCAAATGTGGGGGACTCTGCGCTTCATGAGAGGGCCATTTGTACAACTCCTCTGAGAATTGGAGAGCAAAACGCAAGAATAATTTCTAGCATGTAGACATGAGACCTGCTGAAGGAAGTGGGCGGAAGGAGGGAGGTTTGGCTGGGCATGAAGAGAGGACCACTTCTCAGGATTCTCTCACTGGCTTGGTTTTTGCCTCTGTGTCTCAGTTTTCCAAGAAAGGAACCCCTCCCCTGCCCCGTGACCTGCCACAGTCCCTCTCCTAAGCTCAGCCAAGAGTTTAGGGTAAGAACAGAGAGGCCAGGAGCGGTGGCTCATGCCTGTAATCCCAGCACTTTGGGAGGCCAAGGCGGGCAGATCATCGAGGTCAGGAATTCAAGACCAGCCTGACTGACATGGTGAAACCCCATCTCTACTAAAAATACAAAAATATTAGCCAGGCGTGGTAGTGAACGCCTGTAGTCCCAGCTACTTGTGAGGCTGACACAGAAGAATCGCTTGAACCCAGGGGGTGGAGGTTGCAGTGAGCTGAGATCGCACCATTGCACTCCAGAGTGAGAATCTGTCTCAAAAAAAAAAAAAAAAAGAATAGAGAAAAAATACTCAAGGTTCTCAGAAGGTGCTGTGCACATGAAAAATAAGTTGAGCTTTACAGATAACACAGCTGGATGTTGTTCTGTGGAACCTCCACAAGCGAGACAGAATGGTGACACAACGCACTGCTGTTTCTATGCCCTCCAGCCCCAATCTCTCCAATCTTTAGTCCCTTAGAACCAACTTTTCTGCCAGGACCTGAACAACTGTGACAAACTGAGGTTTCTAATAATGATGGTAATATTTAAAGTGTGATCATGATCTCATCCATCTCCCCCTTTACCTGCTGCTTGTCATGTCTTTGCCACACTGTGGCTATCATATTTAATCCTCATAGTAACTATAATATTGAGATTGTCACCACCCTCTTACAGGCAAGGAAGCTTAAGGGGGTGAAATAACTTCTTTCAAGTCACGCAGTTACAAAGTGAAGGACATAGATTCACATTCGGGTCTACCTCACCCCAAAGCCCGGATCCAGGTCATTATTTACTATGGATTGGGGTTAGGCTGAGAACAATGTTCCCAAATATCTTTGCTTCATTGTCTGTTTCCCCAAGTAAGAGCGTGTTCTTCTCCCGGTGTCAATGCCTCCCCACTCTTTCCCCTCCTCAGTCCCTCTTGGTATCTGTCTCAAAGTTCCACAATCCCCTCGGCCCTCTCCTCAGGTTCTATTTCTGCCTCTCAAACATGTCTTCACCTAATACATATTTGTTATTTCCAATGCATCGGATATACTATACAGATAAGGGGCCTGGGCACCGGCATTTCAGGAGCTTTTATTCTAGTGGGGAAAAAAGACAATCAACAAACCAGAGTTTGATTAGGGAGGTGATCAGGTCATGAAGGTGGAACTCTCATGAATGAGATTGGTGCCCTTTTTCTTTTCTTTTTTTTTTTTGAGACAGAGTCTCACTCTGTTGCCCAGGCTGGAGGCAGTGGTGCGATCTCGGCTCACTGCAACCTCTACCTCCTAGGTTCTCTCCCCTCATGTGTTCCCTAAGGGTCGTCCCCGTGCAGTTCTTGCTGATGCCAAGCTCTGTGGCCAGGCTTTCTTTTGCTGGATGAGTCCATGGAAGAGCTGACCCTAAACCCAGAAGGCCTGTCTCTGTCCCATGTTGGTTCCCACTACCCCATCGAGCCCACCACTGCTTCATCTAGGGAGGGGTGGGCAAAGGCTCAGAAATGTCTGGCAGATCTAAAAACAGGTGGGGGCTATTCCAGAGAGTCCCATTAAAGCTGGAAGCCTCACGCAGTCTCTGTAGTCATAAAGGAACAGGTAGGGAGACGGCCAGGTCAGAAACCCAGAAGACCAGGGCTGGAAGGAATTCTAGAGTCTCAGTGGGACTAAGCAGCCCAGGCAGTGATCACTCAGTGTCTGCTGGGATGGGGAACTCACACCCACCAAGGCGGACCATTCTAATCTGGTGCACTGCCCATGAGGCAGGCTGTGTAGCATATCACACAGCTTGCAACTGTAGGTTTTGGGGTCAGACAGGCCTGGATTTGTCCTCTGAGCTATGTCAGTATTCCTGGGCAAGTGACAGCTCTTTGAGCTTCAATTTGCACATATGTATTTTGGGGATAATAATGCCTTTGGTAGATTACAAAATAGCTATCAATCGTCCCTTTGCCTCTATCCATACCCTCTGGAAATAATCTCCCACATGAATCCTGGCCACATGACTTGCTTTGGTCCATGCGATATTAGCAAACATGACATGAGAAGAGGTGAGACAACCGGCTTGTACCTGCCGCCATGTGAACTAGCCCTACACCACCTTGCCCTGGCGTTCCCATGGTCCCTGCTGATAGCCAGACAAACCCCCGAAAAGCTACCTAGTTTACGGCAGACACAGGAATGAGCCCAGCAGAGTCTAGCCCACACTGCCAATCCAAAGAATCACAAGCTCATTCCAGTTCTTGTACTAAGCTGCTAAGACTCAGGGCAGTTTGTGAAACAGTAACATTTACTTGGATTTGAGGGTTAAATGAGATGATGATACAAAGTGTCTGGTGCAAAGCTAGATATACAGCAGGTACTCAGTATATGACAGCTGTAATTTCCTCCTTAGGTTCTATTTCTGCCTCTCAAACATGTCTTCACCTAATAAATATTTGTTATTTCCAATGCATCTGGTATACTATACAGGCAAGGGGCCTAGGCGCCTGCATTTCAGGAGCTTTTATTCTAGTGGGGAAAAAAGACAATCGACAAACCAGAGGTTTGATTGGGGGGTGATTAGGTCATGAGGGTGGAACTCTCTTGAATGAGATTCGTGCCTTTTTTTTTTTTTTGAGACTGAGTCTCACTCTGTTGCCCAGGCTGGAGTGCAGTGGTGCGATCTCAGCTCACTGCAACCTCCACCTCCCAGGTTCAAGCGATTTTCCTGTCTCAGCCTTCTGAGTAGCTGGGATTACAGGTGTGCACCACCACAGCTGGCTAAGTTTTCTATTTTTAGTAGAGATGGGATTTCGCCATGTTGGCCAGGCTGGTCTGGAGCTCCTGACCTCAGGTGATTTGACTGCCTTGGCCTCCCAAAGTACTGGGATTACAGGTATGAGCCACCACACCTAGCCTTCATGCCCTTTTAAGAGGCCCAGGGAGCTAGCTGGCTCCTTCCACCACGTGAGGACACAGTAATGAGGCACTCTCTGTGAGCCAGGAAGTGCCCCCTCGCCAGACACCAAATCGACCGAAGCCTTGATCTTGGACTTCCAGCCTCCAGCACTGTGATAAATACATTTCCATTGTTCATATATCAAATAATTTGTGGCATTTTGTTACAGCAGATAATGAGAAGGATCTGGCGTTGTGAAAAGTCTGGGGGGAAAGCTCTCCAAGAAGAGGGGATGGCCCTTGGGGTAACAATGGGCTCAGCATGTTCGAGCAGGAAGAAACAGGACCAGTGTGGGTGCAGCACAGGACGGTGAGGGGCAGGGGTGAGATGAAGGTGTCAGGGGTTGCACAGATGCCAGGCTGGATGGGCCTTGAAGACCACAGCAGGCGGGTGGGACACTGTTCCACATGTAACAAGAAGTCATCTGAGGGTTTTAATGATGTGACCTGATTTACATTTTTAAAACATCGCTCTGCCTGTTACATGGAGAAAAAATTACCTTTCACTCTCCAGAACGGTCAGTGCTTTCAAATGTAAGCTTCTTAAAGATCACCTGCGGGGCTTCTTAAGACCCCTATTTCCAGGCACCACCCGAGATTCTGGTTCAGGAGGTCTGGGGTGGGGCCTGAGAATCTGTATTTCTGACAAGCTCCCATGCAATGCTGTGTTGCTGGTTCCAGGAGCAGGCTTGAAGCAACGCTGTTCTAGAGAGTAGGGCTCTGTGAGCCCAGCCCATTCTCTCTCCTTTACTCAGAGAGAGCAGAGAAGTGACCTGTCATCCCCATGAGGCCCCGCAACTGTAGTCAACACTTAACATCTTTGTCAAAAACACACTAAAGAACCAGGCTCTCCCTGGTGTGGTGTCAGAAGATAGGTGAACCCCTCGTGATCAGCTCCCTCTGTCCCTTTGCCATTGGTGTCTTCTGCTGGGATGGGAGGGAAGGGTGCTGAGCTGCTGAAGGAGAAGCAGAACTCCTGGCTTCATGGCCATGGTTGCAACGTTCATTCTTTCTGAACGGAATTCCAGAGGGAGCTGCGTACGGGAGTGCGAAGGCCGGCTCTCCTAATTCGTTGTGGCATTCACGTAGGGCCTACTTCTGACTCGAAGGTTTACAAATATATCTGAAAGGTTTCTTAAATTAAAAATCAATCCAACAGGCACCAGTCCGCGTGCTGCATCATAATCGGATGTGTTGACAGAGTGGAAGTGGCTGCAGGAATTTCTACCATTCTTCATAAGCCTGCAGTGCCGCTTTATAATTTTTAATTGTGGCCCGTTAAGTGCCTCTCATTAGGGCTTGGCATCCCTTGGGTTCTCTTGAGATACTGTCCTGATGGTGATACATGTCACAATACAGGAGTGGGTATCGTGTGTCTGCTACGCTTGGGCTGTCCATGCTTTGAAGGGAAGACCGCTATGGTTGGTGTTTGCTGTATATGTGAGTGGGGCCCGGACTTTTTTTTTTTTTTTGAGACCGAGTCTCGCTTTGTTGCCCAGGCTGGAGTGCAGTGGCACGATCTCAGCTCACTGCAAGCTCCGCCTCCCGGGTTCACACCATTCTTCTGCCTCAGCCTCCCGTGTAGCTGGGACTACAGGCGCCCGCCACCATGCCAGGCTAATTTTTTGTATTTTTAGTAGAGATGGGGTTTCACTGTGTTAGCCAGGATGGTCTCCATCTCCTGACCTTGTGATCTGCCTGCCTCAGCCTCCCAAAGTGCTGGGATTACAGGCGTGAGCCACCGCGCCCGGCCCCGGACTTTCTTTTAAATGCACTGTGTCTGCAGCCCAGGCCAGAAGGATGGATCCCACTGGCAATAGAAGGAGGCACTTGGTTTTGTCTGTATTCTCTTCTTGCTAACTAGTGTATACAGAAGGATGGGTTTGAGCTGTTAATAACTAGAAACATGTTTGTTCTACTTGTTTGCAAATTCCAGATAGCAAATTCTATAGCCAGCAGAGAGGTGAGAAACATTAAGAAAAGGGAAATTAATATTTTCTCACATCAACTACTTACTAGGCACTTTACACCTTATTTTGTAGAACCCAGACAATAATCAGTGAATCTGACGTTATCACCATCTCGTAGATGAGTCAAGTGAGGCTCAAAAAGGCTAAGTAAGTCGTTCAAACTTACACAGCTAGGAAGTGGCACAAGTGTACTTTGAATCCAAGTCTTGCTTTTTTTTCTTTTCTACTACATCACTTTACCTCTCCTAAATAACTATCATGTGCACATGCCTTCGTAAGGATGTTCAGATCTAGCCAGTATTTACTGGATGTCAAATATGTGCTCAGGGCTTTTATAGAGGATCTCTTATTTACTCCTAAACAGGACCCTATGAGGCAAGTAATTTTATCCTTCTTTTATAGAAGGAGGAAACGGAAACCCAAAGATGTTAAGTGACTTGCCCAGAACACCAGCTGAGGATTGAATGAGTTGGTGGGATTTGAACCCGGAGCTCTCTGTCCTTCCGTCTAGTGCCTTTTTACCCAATATCACAAATATTAAGATTCTGGTCAACAGTACTGGTATCATTCTGGGAGCCTCTGAATGTATGTCAGGACTAAGCACTGGCACGCCTTCTCTCATCTGATCTTTGTAACAACCTTAGGGATGAGGATAATGATACAGTTACCACTTTCAGATCACAGATGAAGAAACTGAGGCTTAAAGAAGTTAAGTGATGCACTTTGGGAGGCCAAGGTGGGCAGATCACGAAGTCAAGAGATTGAGACCATGCTGGCCAACATGGTGAAACCCCGTCTCTACTAAAAATACAAAGTTAGCTGGGCCTGGTGGTGCGCGCCTGTAGTCCCAGCTATTGGGAGGTTGAGGCGGGAGAATCGCTCGAACCCAGAAGGGGAAGGCTGCAGTGAGCCGAGATTGCAACACTGCACTCTGGCCTGGCGACACCGCAAGACTCTGTCTCAAAAAAAAAAAAAAAAAAAAAAGTTAAGTGACTTGTCCAAAAACAAAGTGACAGGGCAACAAAGAACCCACAGTGCCTGACTCCAGGGACCAAGTGTCATTCACTGTTATGCTACTCTTTACTTTGATTAGAAAGTATATCAGATTTCTTTGGTAGCCACTGGCCACTAATATTGACTCAGAATATTTTGCTGATAATCTGAATGCATTATCAGGAGGCCTGAATGCAACAGAGAGCCAGTGATGGTTGGAGAAATGGGCACCTGGCTTTAAGTGAAACCCTCTCACTTGCATGGATTATAGTACCTGAGTTTCAGTTAGCTCACGGGAGGGGACAGATGCAGTTGAAAGAGACCAATCTAGACCATCATTCAGCACTGACATGGAGTATTCCATTTTCTTTTTACTATAAATGCCATGGAGGAGAAGGAAACACATATGTGAAAAGAGGGACTTTGTGGTGAGGTGGCTTCCTGATGCTTAGTGGTGGGGAGCCTAGGTGTCCAAACTGAAATCTGGGTGAGAGGCCAAAGGGACCTGAGAATTTTAGGGGTGACTCTGGGACACCAGTTGGGTGTCCCTATGGAGACACACAGGATGCCAGATTTGAGCTGGAAGGGCTGGCCACCTCCCCTGGTTTCCCTGAGGCCCTCTGTGATCCAGCCCTTGCCTACCTGGCCATGTGTATTTGATCTCCTCTTTCTCCCTCCTACACCCTAAGCCCTAACCACACCTTACTATTGTGTTCCCCACTGGCCCTGACGTCTTCTCTGTCCCGTGAACATGCTGCACGCTCTATCTCGGGGAGCCCTCCTTCTCTCCTTCTGTGCCTTCTACTCTCAGTCCACTCAGCCTCCAACTCAACTCAGGTACTACCTCCCCTCGGACACATTCCCTGCCTTTTCCTTTCTCCACTTCCTTGGGCTCTCATAGAATCGGTGCACCTCCTGCACGACACTCAGAACTAAACATCCTACTGTAGACCTGTTTACCTGTCAGTGACAGGCAGAGTTCTATGAGGGACCCCCCAGATTCCCGCCCCGCTGGCGGACATGCCCTGTGTTATCGCCCTCTTGGGTGTGGGCAGGGCTTCTGAATATCACATTGTGATCATGTGATGTTATAGAAGACTCCAGGGTCATGGGCCAGAGAGATTCTCCTGCTGGCCTTGAAGAAGTGGGCTGCCCTGCAGGGAGGGGGCTGCATGGCTAGGAACTGAGCGTGGCTTCGAGGAGCTGAGGGGGACACCCATCAACAGCCAGCAAGGAAATGGGACCTCCATCCTGGAACTGAATTCTGCTCCAACCCAAATGAGCTTGGATGTGGATGCCAATCCCCAGATGACATCCCAGCCCTGGATAATCCCTTGAGATTTCAGTCCTGAGACCCTGGGCAGAGGGCCCTGCTAACATCTTCCAGATTCCTGACCCATAGTGGCCACAAGGTAACAAAGGTGTACTTTTTAAGCTGCTCAATGTGTGGTACTTTGTCACCTAACAACAGAAAACGAATGGGGTGCCTGAGCCCCACATAGGCTGCATACTCCTTGAAGACAGGGATAGGTCTTTTAACACATATTCCCCTCCCACTAAGTGCCTGGTGCAGAACGGTGAGCGGTATTTGCCGAGTGATCATGTGGATGTGGAGATGAGAAAACTGTGGGCCCAAGAAGGGACAGGGCTCGCCAGGGCCCTCACAGCAGGTCAAGCATGGACCTGGTGCTAGAGCCTCCATGCTTGTCCCTTGCTCTTTTGTCCCATGCTGTCTTTACCTGTTACCTGCTAGGATCCCCAAGTTCTCTGTGCACAGGAGTCCCAGTGGCCTTTCTCCAAGTTCTTTTGGAGCCTGTGAATCCCCAAGAGACCGCCGGCCCCTGAAGCCATTGAATTATGCATGTGGTCATTTGCTTGCATGTGGCGGGACTCACAGAGCAAGGAATCCACTTCCCTGAGCCACCCTCAACATGAATCATTCCACGTTGCCTCCAGCGCCAGGTTCCTCTCACTTCCTGGAGCTCTCAAGTGCCTTTATGAAAACGTTTTTGCATCCAGGTGTTTGTTCTTTCATCAGTTTGTCCATTCTTCAGTCATTCATGACTAATAACACCTGGTATTTATGGAACACTTATGTGCCAGGCACTGTTCTCGGCACTGTACAGGCATTAGCTCATTTAATCCTTAGAACAATCCCATGGAATCTCACCCATAGGCTGGATAGGCATCTCTGATGTGGCTCAAAAGACAGAATGAGGAATCAAACTTCCTTCCTAATTGTAGGAGCTGAGGGGGGATGACATGTGAGGGAGTTGGGGTAAGGGCAGCCACTGTGGGCCATGTGTAAATTGAAGCGGAAGCCAGTCTGACAAGGTGGGAAGGGGCACCTGGAATGGCCAAGTATAGAAAAGCCATGTAGCCCTGGCTGAGTGACCTTGGGGCTTCAAATCCATTCACTTCTTGGCAGCCAGAGATGTTTTTAAAAATATATAAATTGGGATAGGTGCAGGGGCTCACACTTGTAATCCCAGCACTTTGGGAAGCTCAGGTGGGAGGATCACGAGGTCAGGAGATCGAGACTATCCAGGCCAACACGATGAAACTCTGTCTCTACTAAAAATACAAAAAATTAGCTGGGCATGGTGGCTGGTGCCTGCAGTCCCAGCTACTCGGGAGGCTGAGGCAGAAGAATGGTGTGAACCCGGGAGGCGTGTATTGCTGTTTATGTGACTAGCTCCATATTCTCAGCCCTGGCTACACGTTATAAGCTTAAAACAAAACAATGCCAAGGGCTCTATCCTACAAAGGTCCTCACTTAACTGCTCTGCAAGGGAGCCTGGATGTGAACGTGTTATACAACTCCCGAGGTGATTCAATCTCCCTGGACAAGGTTGAGAAGCAGTGCATTGGCTTGTAAGCTACATCAGGGCGGGGCTCATGTCCGTACTGCCTGGAAATGCTTGATGGATGTTTGCTTCATCAATACACATAGAAGGAAAAGAAACAGCGTTGCTTTCCAGCCGCAATTGTAGCTCCAGTCTCCCCACTGTCCCTCTTCCTGAGGTAATTCGAGTCGGGCTCTACTTCTTAAGAATCGATCCTTTCATCTATCCTCAGACAATGATAAGGTAAGAGCCCTTGGTTTTCGGTGCTGGGGAGGTGGTAGGGATGTGACACAGCTCACCCTTATCAGTACTCTTTTTTTTTCTTTTTTTTAAAGATGGAGCCGTGCTCTGTCACCCAGGCTGGAGTGCAGTGTCACGATCTTGGCTCACTGCAACCTCTGCCTCTTGGGTTCAAGCCATTCTCCTGCCTCAGCCTCCCCAGTAGCTGGGATTACAGGCGCACACCACCATGCCCAGCTAATTTTCGTATTTTTAGTAGAGACGGGGTTTCACCATGTTGGCCAGGCTGGTCTAGAACTCCTGACCTTGTGATCTGCCTGCCTGGGGCTCCCAAAGTGCTAGGATTACAGGTGTGAGCCACCGTGCCCGGCCCAGGCTTCAATATTCTAAGCCCATGTGCCATCTCTTCCTGCTCCATCCTCCAATTTTAGCAGATGCACTGGGAAGCAGGCACACCCTTCTCCATTCTCTATCCTCCATGTAACAGCCGCGGTGAGGAGACTGGGGTGGGTGAGGCCGTCTGCCATACCTGTCCATGGACAGCTGAGCGACCAGGGTGACGTCCGTGCTGTCTGCTGCAGGCTCATACTCGTAGTGCAGGAAGTACAGGTGGGTGCGGTGGACAGTGAAGCGCTCTCGCCGGAACTCATAGCACAGGTCGTCCTCGTCCAGCTCAGACAGCTGCTTCTGGAGCTGCAGGGTAGGAGAGAGGGCTTGGGCACGTGAAGAAGAGGTCCGAGGGGGCCCATGAGCTTGCCCCTTGAGCCCTGCCCTCCCCTGAGTTTATTACCCATCAGGACGTTGTTGATGGGTCTGACGTACATGGAAGGGATCACCACTTTTATTTCCCTCTGCAACTTAATCTAATTTCAAAAAGGTGATGGTAAAAATCAGATGCCTGGGGACCGGCTGTGGTGGCTCACACCTGTAATGTCAGCACTTTGGGAGGCCAAGGCGAGCAGATCGCTTGAGCCTGAGAGTTCGAGACCAACCTGGGCAACCAGGCAAAACCCTGTCTCTACTGAAAATAGAAAAATTAGCCGGACATGGAGGTGTGTGGCTGTAGTGCTACTCAGGAGGCTGAGGTGGGAGAATCACCTGAGCCCGGGACATGGAGGCTGCAGTGAGCTGAGATGGCACCACTGCACTCCAGCCTAGGCTACAGAGCAAAACCCTGTTTCAAAACAAAAACAAACAAAGAAAAAAACAAAAAAAAGAGGATGCCTTTAACACCTGAGAAATGAGTCCCCTCTTAGCTAAGAACAAAGGTGGTGCTCACTGAAAAACATATAACCAACCATAAACTCCTTAGAAACAAATGAGAAATGTTTTCCTAGACAACTCAGCATAACAATTTCAAATAACATGGGAAAATGGGCTGGGCACGGTGGCTCATGCCTGTAATCCCGGCACTTTGGGAGGCCAAGGTGGCTGGATCACCTGAGGTCAGGAGTTCGAGACCACCCTGGCCAACGTGGGGAAACCCTGTCTCCACAAAAAATACAAAAATTAGCCGGGCATGGTGGCGGACACCTGTAATCCCACCTACTCAGGAGGCTGAGGCAGGAGAATCTCCTGAACCCAGGAGGCAGAGGTTGCAGTGAGCTGAGATCGCACCACTGCCTTCCAGCCTGGGTGACAGAGTGAGACTCCAACTCAAAACAAACAAACAAACAAACAAAAAACAAATAAAACAAATAAAAATAAAAATTACACAGGAAAATGCCCAAAGAAGAAAACGCTCAAAACTGACAAGGACCTCCGTATGACCTGATGCTTTTCTCTCCCTAGAGCTACTGATTTCAATTTTTGTACTAGGTCTCGGAAAAAAACAAAACAAAACAAAACTTAGCACGTTAACAAAACAGAAACTCTTTTCCTTTCATTTCACCTAAGTTTAATCAGAATCTTGGCACCCGTACTTTTTTCTCTTTTCTTTCTTTGAACTCTCTGAAAGTCTTACTTCATTAATCTGCTTGTAGAAGTTGTTTAACTAGCTGTACTTCTCTCTTCCTTCACCAACTTGTGAAAAGAGCAGGCACACCTGCTGACAGGGAGCTAAGAAGATAACATTTCAGATATGCAGAGGCAGATACACAGATGTGCAAATCTGCAGCTGCCCAACAGACACGGTCTCATGTGAACCCCTACCAGGCAGGTATGATGTATGTTTTACAGATGAAGAACTGAAATTAAAAAGTGACACAACTTAGCAAAAAGCTAATCCACAGTGACAAAAATTGGACTCGGGCATGTGGGGTGGGGGAGTGAAGCCTGGGAAGAGGCAAGAGAGGGCTGGGAGTGACAGAAACCCGCTCCACCATGACTGGAGCGATGGGTACATGGATGTGCACTTTCGTGAAAATTCAACAAACTGTGCACTTAGAATGGGAGGACTTGGCCAGGCACGGTGGCTCACGCCTGTAATCCCAGCACTTTGGGAGGCTGAGGCAGGTGGATCACGAGGTCAGGAGTTTAAGACCAGCTTGGCCAAGATGGTGACACCCCGTCTCTACTAAAAACACAAAAAATTAGCCGGACATGGTGGCGGGCATCTCTAATCCCAGCTACTCGGGAGGCTGAGGCAGAGAATTGCTTGAACCCAGGGGGCAGAGGTTGCAGTGAGCCAAGATCATGACACTGCATGCCAGCCTGGGCGACAGAGCGAGACTCCATCTCAAAAAAAAAAAAAAAGAATGGGAGGACTTGTCGGAGGCAATCTGTATTTCCATAAAAACAAACTTTTAAAAAATGATAATTTGTTCTCATTGTTCAATTCCCACCTATGAGTGAGAACATGCGGTGTTTGGTTTTTTGTCCTTGCGATAGTTTGCTGAGAATGATGGTTTCCAGCTTCACCCATGTCCCTACAAAGGACATGAACTCATCATTTTTTATGGCTGCATAGTATTCCATGGTGTATATGTGCCACATTTTCTTAATCCAATCTATCACTGTTGGACATTTGGCTTGGTTCCAAGTCTTTGCTATTGTAGTCACAGGGACACAGGAAGGGGAACATCACACACCGGGGCCTGTTGTGGGGTTGGGGGAGAGGGGAGGGATAGCATTAGGAGATATACCTAATGTTAAATGATGAGTTAATGGGTGCAGCACACCAACATGGCACATGTATACATATGTAACTAACCGGCACATTGTGCACATGTACCCTAAAACTTAAAGTATATTAAAAAAAAATGATAATTTGCCAAAGGTCACAGGAGGGCTGGTTCCATTTTTTTTTTTCTGTTAAATCAGCCTTGTCTATCACACGATAGAATACAGACAAAAGTTTACATGGCAAGGGTTACCAACCTAGCTGAATACCATAGAATGTTTTTCCAAGAAGGTGTACTTTTTTAAATCACCAAATCAACAGTGTAGCAGTCAATAAGAAAATATATTAACTTGCTTCTGTAGAGCTTTGTACCTGTTAAGACCATTGCCTTGACAGATTACTTGATGGCATTATTTCTCAAGATGTGTGCTATGGAAGATGATGGCATTAATTGCTCCAATTCCTTCTCTCTCCCCCACTCCCCGCCACCCCAGATATCCTTGTCCTTTGCAGTGGTGCTTACTAAAGCGGCACAGTTTATTTCTCTAGCCTTGAATAAGGGCTAGAATCATGATGTATTTTTGTTAACAAAAAGCAGGGGAAGTAATATTGTCTCAGTCTTGAGGCTAGACCTCAAGAGAAAGTGTTTCTTGCACCCCTACCATTGCCATGAGAAGATGCCGAGGCTAGCTTGCTGGAAGATGAGACATCTGGGGCAGAGCAGCTCCTCCCCAATTGCCAAAGTCATGCAAGCCAGCCTGGCCCAGCTGCCTCAATAAATACTACTTATTTTTTTTGAGACAGAGTCTAGCTCTGTTGCCCAGGCTGGAGTGCAGTGACGCGATCTCAGCTCACTGCAACCTCTGCCTCCCGGGTTCAAGTGATTCTCTGGCCTCAGCCTCCCGAGTAGCTGTGATCACAGGCACTCACCACCACGCCCGGCTAATTTCTGTATTTTTAATAGAGACAGGGTTTCACTATGTTGGCCAGGCTGGTCTTGAACTCCTGACCTCAGGCAGTCCACCCACCGAACCCTCCCAAAGTGTTGAGATTACAGGCGTGAGCTACCGCGCCCGGCCAATAAATGCTTCTTGAAGGCCACTGAGATCTTACTGGTTCTGAGCAATAGATACTGATAGAGTGCTATTGGTATTTTGTGGGGGGCACTTTTTTATTATGGGGACCTGTACCACATATTGAAGGACAATCAACCTCCCGAGCTCCTGCCCACCAAATGCTTATAGCATTCTCCAGACAGCCCTGTGATGCTCCAAATGTACTTGAACATTTCCAAATGCAGCTTGGGAAACTGGCTGAGATCCAATCATCTGTGAGACACTGTCAACTATCTCTAAAATTTTTAACCGTTAAAAGGATGCAATTAGGGATATTCAGCTTTTCAAGTCAATTTGCTGTCCCTGCCTATTTGAAGATTCTCACCATGCCAACAGTTTAATATAAGACAAGGAAGCTGAAATTCTCATTCCATCTAAGATCTATGACCCCACTGCTTCCTTCTGACCTGTATGATTAAATCCAGATTTCCTTGTTGACAATTACGGGCTGCTCTCTCTGACCCATCACCCCCACACTCTGTGGCCTCATCATTGGTCTGTGTGCTCCCCAAATCTGCCTTTCCCTCACACCTCCGTGACTTTGTTCCGTGCCATGCTCTTCCCTCTCGGGGATGCCCTCCCTCACTTCACTCCACTCTCCTCCACCTAAAAAACCTTCCATTTACCTTTCAAGATTCAGCCCAGATGGCACCTGCTCTGTGAGACCTCTGCAGATCCTGCTGGGTAGAAGCAATCCGTTTCTTCTCTGCGCTCCAAGAGCACTCAGTTCGTAACTCCATTAAAGCACTTGTCAACTTAAACTGAAATTATTTAACGGCAACTTTCCCGGTGAGACTGTGACATTTTACCATTGTCCTGAGCACCATGCCTGGCTTGTGACAGGTGCTAATATCATGTGTTGCATGCCTGAAAAATATTTGCTGTATACAAAAAACCTGTAATCACTGTGAAGTTAAGACTATCCTTTCAATTTTCCTTTTGTGTCCTCTAATTATATGCACAGAAGGTGATCAATAAGCCCATTCTTCAGCCTATGATTTGCTTCAATATTTGCATCCAAGGGTCTGTGACGGCTGAAAAGCTTTTGGAGAGCAAACAAGCATGTGCCAAGCTCCACGTAAGGTGCTGGGTACAGGTGATTTCCTCTCCTCCCCAGAGCCCCCGGTGAGTCACTGGCAGCCTCATCCAACAGTTGAGAAGGGTGGAGGTGTCAAACCTGGGTCTGTGCCCCTCCACCACCATGCTGCTGCTTCAGGAAAGATGCCTGCTTGGCCTCATGTGAAGACGCAGATGCAGCACAGTGGCTAAGGACACTGGTTCTAACCCATTCTGCCTGGATCATCTCAGGTAAGTGGGTGAGTGACCTAACCTTTCTGAGCTTCAGGGTCCTCAGCTGTAAAATGAGGACGACAAAACTCACTACCCCAGAAGGTTATAGAAGGATTCTGAAAGATGCTGCATATAGAGAAAACAGCGGTTGAAGAAAACATTCAACAGATGTCACCTATTATCATAGTGATTATCACAGGAAAGGGAAACACCTGGGCCCCTGAAGACACCTATGTGGATACTTTTTGTCCTCAAACCTCACCTGAAGGAGACTGTATGGCAAGATCCTGGTGGGCAGGGATGGTAGGGGCTGGATGAGCCAGGGTGGCCCTTCTGATTCATACATATTAGAGGGAGTCCCCCTGGCTTTCCCCTTGAGGGCCTAAAATATGCCTATAAACCATAATGTTACCTCCCGGCAGAAAACGTAACCAACTGCTATGCTCCTAAACTCCCTCACCCACACTGCAGAAGAGCACAAGAAATTATCCTCCACTGGAGACTAAACATCTACAAAATTCTTTGCAAGAGCAGGGTTGGCTTTTTTTTCCTTTGGTTTTGGTTTCTGTTTTAATATGCTCAGAAGAATGAAGGGCTTCCAGTTCAATGAAGAGGACAGTGGAAATGTGTGTGATGCGTGGGTGTGAGCGTGGGTAGGCAAATGTGTGTGGAGAAATGGGTCCTTCTTTGATGAGGCTTCAGACAAGTAGCTGGTCCTCACCATGTGAAAATGGGCATTAGTGAGTGGAGAATGAGAAACACATGCATGTATGGGGGTTTCTCATCCCCTTTACTGACTGACTGGTTGATTGACTAAGATGGAGTCTCACTCAGTCGCCCAGGTTGGAGTACAGTGGCACGATCTCGGCTCACTGCAACCTCTGCCTCCCGGGTTCAAGCGATTCTCCTGCCTCAGCCTTCCTAGTAGCTGGGATTACAGGTGCGCACCACCATGCCCAGCTAATTTTTGTATTTTTAGTAGAGACAGAGTTTCACCATGTTGGCCAGGCTGGTCTTGAACTCCTGACCTCAGGTGATCCACCCGCCTCGGCCTCCCAAAGTGCTGAGATTACGGGCATGAGCTACTGCGTCTGGCCTCTCCTTCTCTTTATATGCACACACAGGTACATACCCTTGAGTTGGGGAAAAAGACATTCCCAGGTAAATGGCTCCAGGAACCACTTTCTAAAAAGCATCCATATGGTGAGCTCCTAACAGCAGGAGCTGTATCCCCTTCATTTCTGAACCATCTGAACCTAGCAATATCCAGGTTCTATATCCAATGTTAACAAAGATTTTCTGAGTGGTGGATTCACAGATGAATTTTATTGGCTTCTTTATACTTTTCTGTAGTTAATTAATTCCCTGCATTTTTCTCAAATGAGCTAATGCATGTCAAGTGTTTTGTAAACTCTAAAGTGCTGCAGAAACTTAAGCAATGTGGTTATGATTATATCATGTACCTTTTCAAATCCTAACCTAGGCTTGCTTATTGCTGACTGCGTGGCTGATGTGATCCATCTTGGATGTTCAGCAAGCCTCTGTTGGATGTCCTCAGCCCCTGTATGTTAGGAGAGGGAGTACTGGTCAACGGAGATGCTCCGAGGACTTCCAAAGTACACCTTGCCCTAGTGGGATGGACTAGGGCAGTCCTGGAGAAGAGGCCACCTCCAGCTCTGAACTTCATGGTACCAATAATGGGATTTGGTGGCATCCACATCCCAAGCTCACTTGCAGCCCTTGCTGCAGTGTATAAAGGGTATTATCTAGGGAATATTGTCATTTACCAACCACAGTGGGTATTGTAGAAAAAAAAGGTGGCCGGGCACCGTGGCTCATGCCTGTAATCCCAGCACTTTGGGAGGCGAAGGAAGGCGGATCATGAGGTCAGGAGATCGAGACCATTCTGGCTAACACCGTGAAACCCCGTCTCTACTAAAAATACAAAAAATTAGCTGGGTGCAGTGGCGTGCGCCTCTAGTCCCAGCTACTTGGGAGGCTGAGGCAGGAGAATCGTTTGAACCTGGGAGGGGATGGTTGCAGTGAGCCGAGATCACGCCATTGCACTCCAGCCTGGGTGACAGAGTGAGGCTCTGTCTCAAAAAACAACCACCACCATCAAAAACAAAAACAACAACAAAAAACAAAAACAAAACAGGAAAGAAAGAAAGGTATGCTGTCAGACGTACCTGTCCACAGGACTCTGGGGCAACCAGAAGCCATCCTTGAACTTGCATGTTCATTTCTCCTCTACATGGTGCTTTGCACCTTGATCCACCTAATACTAACTGGGTACCTACTATGTGACTGGCGCAATGCTAAATGTTTTCAGGTGCATTGCTTCATCAATTTAATCCTTCAGCACACATATCTGTTGTACAAAGGAGGAAACTAAGGCTCAGGAGCTTTCAGTAATCTGCTTCAGTGAGCGAGAAGAAGTCCAGGATGGGAATCCAGTCTTCGGACCTCAAACCAGGGACATTTCACAACACAATTACTTCTTCCCAGGAGATGGAGGTGAGAATCAAATGAGATGGTGGAAGACACAATGTTCCATGAACGAAGCAGGCCATAAAAAACTGTGGTCCCAGTGCAGGAAAAAGACGAAAGGAAAAAGAAAAACCCACTCAAAAAAAGAAGGGAACACATTATAATGTTAACAAAGATTTTCTGAGTGGTGGATTCACAGATGAATTTTATTGGCTTCTTAAACTTTTCTGTAGTTAACTAATTCCCTGCAATTTTCTCAAATGAGCTAATGCACGTAAAACTGCTTTGTGAACTGTAAAGTGCTACCCAAACCTAAGCAATGTGGTTATGATTATATTATGTACCTTTTCAAATTCTAATTTAGGCTCGCTTATTCCTGACTGCGTGGCTAATGTTATCTCAATGGGGAGACTCTAGCAGTTTAGAAACTGCCTCCTTGGCCAGATGCGGTGGCTCACGCCTATAATCCCAATACTTTGGGAAGCTGAGGCGGGTGGATCACCTGAGGTCGGGAGTTCGAGACCAGCCTGGCCAACGTGGGGAAACCCCATCTCTACTAAAAATACAAAAATTAGCCAGGTGTGGTGGTGGGTGCCTGTAACCCCATCTACTCGGGAGGCTAAGGCAGAACAGCTTGAACCCAGGAGGTGGAGGTTGCAGTAAGCTGAGATCATGTCATTGCACTCCAGTCTGGGCAACAGACCAAGACTCCATCTCAAAAAAAAAAAAAAAAAAAAAAAAAAAAAAGCCAAAAAAACAAAAACAAAAAGCCAAAAACAAACAACCCCCCCCCCAAAACAAACAACAAAAAAGCCAAAAACAAAACCTGCCTCCTTTTCACCCAGGGTTTGGGTAATTTCTCTGGGGAGCCATGGAGCCGGAGGGAGTATTTCATTAACAGGGTCTGAATGCTACTGTACTCTGCTCTCTGGCCACTGCCACAGGGAACAGAGGGCTCCTGACAAGGGAGGCACAGAAACAAAAGACAGATTTCTCCTGAGATAAAATGCATTTGCTAAACTGCTTCTTTGGGCAGCCAGCTGAGGCAGAGGGAAATTTGGACCCAAGGGAAAATGGCCCGTTAGGCAGTTTGCATTTATTTCTCCTCATCTTTAAGGACAGTGGCCTAGACTGACTTTTTGAGCTGCTGGAAATGATGGCTGGTTATACCTGAGGATCCAGAGGGAGTACAAGTGCATCCTGTGCTCTGGCCTTAGAGACTTCTGTTCACAGTTGCGCAAACTAAGGAGTGAGATTATGGGGATAACTGAAAAGCGAGACCTGATATCTCTGACACTCATTTTCTATGCGACCTTGAGCAAGTCATGTCTCTGAATTAGTAAGACAAAGGGTTTGGACTTCCTAAAGTGACGCTCAAGGATCACGCACTCACTGGGTCAGGTAAAGTGGGGAGAGCTTTTGCAGGTTCTTTCTCATGTAAGACTCACATCAACTCTACAGATCAAGAACCACTCTTAGTCCTCTTTAGTAGAAGAAGACATCCATCATCTGAAAGGTTTAGCCATTGCTTAAGGTTATACAATGCGCGAACAGAGTAGCTGAGATTCAAACCCAGGTGTATTTCCTCTGAATTCTTGCAGGTAACCAACTCACTACAATGCCTAGTTGGTCAGCCTCTGGGCTTCTTTCTAGTTCTAACAGTAAACGATTCTGTGACTGCAGAGGACTCAACACATGTATTTCACATGGTGGCAGAAACATCCTGTGCTCACCAATATCCATATTTTGCTCTCTTCCTGGGCACAGAGCTAGGCTGTATCTCCAGCCTCCTTGCAGTTAAGAATAACTCTGTGATACAGCTCTGGCCACTGGAGTCTGGAAAGGCTCTGGCTAGTACAGGCACCACTCTGAAGCCTTGCTCAGGAACAAATTTTATTCGCCTTCTTTTCTTGGCTGACAGCCAGAGCAAGAGAATCCTGTAGAGCAGGCTGGGGTTCTGTGGAGGGCAGAGCCACAAGACAAAAGGAGCCTGGGTCCTTCAACCTGCAGAAAAACTACCTGCCAATCATGAACACCCATGTGGACTTTCTGCAAGGTTCCAGCAGGTTGAGCCACATTACAGCTGCTTGTGCTACCTTGACTAACAGGCACATTTGAATGCTTGTAGCCTGTAAGTGATGGAGACATAGTACGATGGACCAATTAAGGAGTCTGGGAGGCCCCGTTTCTTCCTTCCTGTGACACCCCTCCTTCTGATGTCTTGGGGCAATGGGTGAAATCACTGATGGGGAAATTACCACTCAAGCATGTTGCTTTGCACTTTCAACTTGCTTTCACTTTTTGGTGGCTTCGTATCCACTATTTCATTTTTACTCCTCCCCAGCGCTTGCATGAGACAGGCAAGGCTGCCCTTAGGGCCCTCAGTTGACAGATGAGGGCCCAAGGTGCTCAGAGAAGCTGGGGCTCCAACTCTGGTCTCCTGAAACCTAACCCAGAGCTTGTCCCTGTGGTTTCCACAAAGCAGTTACATCTTATTAAGCCACACAGACAGGCAGAAAAAGCTCACGACCTTCCTCGTTGCCTGCTGTGTGTATTAATCAACAAGTTCCAGGAACCCAAAGCATTTTTTTACTAAGGAAACCAAACTATGAGTCCATTTTCATTCTTTTGCAGGGAGGTAGGGGGCTGCATTCAGGACTGTTGAGTGAAGGTTCAGAGAGGGTCTGCCCAGCCCTGACCTCGACTTGGAGGAGATAAGAAAAAGGCTTGGTCTCCTCCCTCCCAGTTATCAGTATTAATTCACGCATCACATACAATTCATAGGCTCTTATTTTATGCCAAGTCTTGTGCTAGGAATGGGGAATGAGCTCCTGCTTCTGCACTTGTATTATTCCTATGGTCTAGGAGGAGAGGCAATGAAGCCAGTCACTAATTACAAACACAGTGCAATCACAACACAAACCTTAATTCTGGGGGGCCTTTGCCATCTGCCACATTGTTCTAAGCTCCTGGCCCTGTCTTACTTTATTGATTCCTCTTAAGTCTATCAGATAGGAATAACTAATTTCCATCGTACAGATGAGAAAACTGAGGTGCAGGGAGTTTAAGCAGATCACCAGGAATCCCACAGCTGGCAGTCCAGCTGGGATTTCACATGAGGCAGCCTCATTCCAGAGCTGCCTTCTTATCTACTGCACAAGTAAGAGATGCCACTTGAGAAAGGGAGATATGGTGGAAAGGAGAGGAAGGGAGGGAGCTGCTTTATAGACAAGGGAGGGCCGAACACCTGGCAAGTGCAGAGAGATGACAACCAGTGCCTAGAGGGGTCAAACAGGGCTCTGTGTAAGTTGCAGCTGAACAGGATCAAAGCAGCCAGGCCACAAGGGGAAACCGTGGCCCAGACTTGTATCCACTGAGTCTCTTGATCCCACAGCTCCTCTTCCCTTCACCCCCTCTCTCTGGAGCTTAACACATTCCTGGAGGGTCCTTTGGAGACTGGCCTTGAGCAGCCTAGCCTGTCTTAGGGTTTTGGGTCTGTCCATCCTGGGCTCTGCTGCCTGCTGCGTGACTGAAGAGTTGGCGACATGCGGCTCGCACGTGAGAGCAGGAATGCATTCTGGGCTTTCTCCGGGATTCTTCTGAGATACAGCTGTTTCCACAGAGCCATCTGTTTCTTGGCATTGTCTTGCAGGGTGATGCCATACAATGTTATAGAATCTGTTTATATGTGTCTTATTTTTAACTTCTAGTTGAGGTGATGCTGTTGTTTTTTCCTCTTAGCAGGCTTAGTGTCAGGGAACGTGGCCTTGGAAGTGGCCTGTCACCTTCATAGCGTGAGAGAGTTAAGCTTGGAAGCCTTCTTCATTTCAGAGGTGAGGCAGTGATCTCCCAGCAGTTGAGAGAGCGGGTATCCAAGACAAGCTTTCTGGAAAATACTCGTAACAATAACTGCCTAGATGGTGCAGCACTTTGAATACTTTAACCCCTTTAACTTTCCTCAAATAGCCTGGTGTGGGTGCATTTACTGACCATTTTACAGATGGGAAAACCGAGGTTCATGTAAGGCTAGAGTTATGCCTAAAATCATAGATCTGGTCTAGGGCCACGGGGTCTTGCTCTGTCGCTCAGGCTAGAGTGTGGTGGTGCCGTCTCGATTCACTGCAGCCTCGACCTCCCAGGCTCAAGTGATCCTCCCACCACAACCTCCTGAGTAGCTAGGACCACAGGCATGTGTGGTTTGCTTATTTTTCACAGAGACGAGGTCTCACTATGGTGCCTGGGTTGGTCTAGAACTCCTGGGGCTCAAGTGATCTTCCTGCCTCAGCCTCTCAAAGTGCTGGGATTACAGGTATGAGCCACTATTCCCAGCTTGGGCCAAATTTTCTGAGTCCAAGTGGAGGGATGCTTCTGGCACACCACAAATGCTTCAAGAAAAGGACTTGTTATAGTTCATTTGTTCAACAAGATTTATTGAGCATGGATCTGGTGCCAGGCACTCTTTAATGAAGATGTACTGATGAATAAAACAGATAAAAAGCCCCGTAGTCACAGAGCTTACATTCTAGTGGGTAGAGACATGATCAACAAAAATAAATAAGTCATGATTATATTAGTGATAAGTACTATGGAGAAAAATGAAGGAGCCCTGGAGAGAGGGAGTGCTGGGGTATGGGACAGGCATTGCAATTTTAGATAGAGGAGTATTTTAAATAGTCGTAGAGAGACCACTCAACTATGAATCAGGGCTTGATACCGGCTTCAGCCCTGCCACCAACGTGTTCTATGAATTCACCTCTCTGAGCTTCTATTTCCTTCTGTATAAAATGGAGATAACAGCAGTGGCTCGCGCCTGTAATCCCAGCACTTTGGGAGGCTGAGGTGGGTGGATCACGAGGTCAGGAGTTCAAGACCAGCCTGACCAAGATGGTGAAACCCCAGCTCTATTAAAAATACAAAAATTAGCCTGGCATGGTGGCAGGTGCCTGTAATCCCAGCTACTCGAGAGGCTGAGGCAGAGAATTGCTTGAACCCGGGAGGCGGAGGTTGCAGTGAGCCGACATTGTGCCACTGCACTCTAGCCTGGGTGACAGAGCGAGACTCTCTCTCAAAATAATAATAATAATAATAATAATAATAAAATAAAACAAATAAATAATAAAAAAGGAGATAACAGGAACTACCTTGAAGGGTTAGTGAAAGAGTAAGAAAACCGTATCCATATAACAACTAGGAGAATTGTGGAATAACCTGGATATATGTAATAATGTAACTTACTATTACATTAATATGACATACATAGCTACATCCATTTGGGAAGCACTTCCTTGTCTTGTGGCTTTAGAGTTAGGTAGACCTGGTTTCTAATCACGGCCCCAGCACTTAGGAGTTGTGTGGTCTTGAACAAGTAAATCATTTCTTTGAAGCCTTCCTTTCCTTATCTGTGAAATGTGACTCATAATGACTCCCACTCTTTGTGGTGAAGATTAAAGTTGTATTTCCCTTTCTCTTTCTTTCCCTGTAGAAAATTTCCAATTCCCAAAAGCTAGAGGCAAGCAGAGAAAGGTCTTAGAACAGCACAAAGAGCTGTGCTCATGCAGGAGAGACCAGAATGACTAATACCTATCGTAGGGATACCCAGCAGGCTTTGGTTCCCTGCTATCACTAGGAGGCTAGGAGACCAATACTGATTACTCAGAGTGCTGTTTTGAGGAGGATAAAGAAGCTGGGCATAGGTGAATAATGCAGTCATCAATTAGTGATGTCTGCTGTGGGCAGGGGTTGGAGACACTGGCTGTTGACTTACAATTCCATATACATTCAAAAATTCATTGGTGTCCAGTGTATTTTTTTTTTGTAGTTTGTGGATGTTTGGTATGTTTCATAATCTAGCTTTTAACATAACAACAGATCATTCTTTTACCATCAGTCTTTCTAAATTAAATACCTTTGTGGGTTTTTTTTTTGTGGGGGGAAGGGGGCGTTGGCTGCCTTGGAAAGAAGGAACAAGGAGGCGAGCCCAGAAAGGGTTGTTCTGAAGCTGATAAGCAGAAAGTGACAGCTGTCAGAAAGGAATCCACAGAATAAGCAGTGAACAGTCTGGGGCCATTTCCTGCCAGGTTAAACAGTATCTTTCCTCCTCTGGACAACCCCCTCCACCTCCTCCAGCCTTTTCAATGTAACCACAGTCATCAAATATTGTAAACTTAGTTTAATACTAAACTGAGTTTAGTGTTTGCTTACTAAAGGAACGGCATACACTTTAGCAGCAAGTTTCCTGTCCAAATTGGTTAAAACCCATCTATTTTAATGGTTTTTGCATTTAAAAAGATGAGGTTCCTTTAGTTGGAAATTCCCTTAGGTGGAGCAAGACCCTCTTGATGATAAAGCATCACCCTACAAATACAATACTTAGGGAGCATTGCATGTTTCTAAATAGCAAACTGAATGGAAACTTTCTATGCTATCTTCTGGGCTGTCAGGTACTAGGGAGGTGGAAGGATCCTTATTTCCTTATGTTTCATTAAAAAAACAGAACAACAAAAAAAAACCCAACAAAACCTAGACTCCAGAGGACAGGGCTCAGATCAGTGGGTTCTTTACAGAAGGGAATATTTCAGCCCAACATGAGGTAGAACAATTTAGCATCTGGAGCTTTCCAATAGCAGAGTAAGCTGCCTTGGAAGGTGGCTCTCTGTCTTTGGGAGAATTTCAGCAGAAGCCAGATGCAAGCCTATTAGGGATACTGTGGAAGGATTCTGAATAGAAAAAACGGTAGAGAATAGCTCTGATTATCCAACTATGTTCTGGAAGAGTCCTGGGGTTTCTTGGATATTCTTTTATAAATTTAATTTAATTTAATTTAATTTTAGGGACTGGGTTTTACTCCATCACACAGGCTGGAGTATAGCGGATCGATCATAGCTCACTTCAACCTTAAACTTCTGGGCTCAAACAATCCTTGTGCCTCTGCCTCCAAAAGTGCAAGGATTATAGGCATGAGCTACCGCACCCTGCCATTTCTTGGATATTCTTGAGGGGCTGGGTTGTTGAGGAAAAGGGAGAGAAATGCTAAGGTATAGAATTCTAACCTCCATCCCTATGTCAATCAATCAACTCATAATAACCAATGCATACCAAATGCTTACTGCACTACATAAAGAATTTACAAGTTCCAGGGAGAGATGCCCAAACTATGAGAGACAAGTGGCTGTGACCAATTAGCTACTGTCATTCCATAGCACTGGGGGAGCCTGTTCTCTTGCAAATCAAACTGTCTTGTCCTAGAGCAAGCAGCCCAACCAGTGGCTCTGAAATGGCGCTCTGCCCCTCACATCTTGGCTCCTTGATGAAGAATTACATCCCTGACTGGATGTCCTTATTTTTATTTTGGCAGCAAGGCAAACCAAATAGCCTCTTCTTCCTACCCTGAATTTCCGAATCAGTGGGGATACTGGGGATTGTTTGACTTAGAGCAAATGTGACACCCTCTCACATGCTTTACAGACAGATTTCTCAGAGACTCTACAGGTTCCCTTCTCTGCTACGTCTTTTTACCAGAGTTGCTAATAAAACCTAAAGCCTATGTGTGGAACAGTGGATTATGATCACATGGGTCAGGCATTGGGGTCTGTGAAGAAACTCATCCCAAGGCACACTGTGTTCCTGGTGCCAAGTCCTTCTTTTTTGGCCTTCAATTGTTCATAAAACCCCATGGCAATGGTGTCATGTACCCATTTCTCAGATGGTAAACCCAAGGCTCAGAGCATTTAGGTGACTTCTCTGAGGTCATGTGTCTATTAAATGAGCGATTCAGATTACCAGAGAGCTCATACTCTTGTTGTCATTATCAATTTCCCAGTGAAAAAGTTAAAATAATGCAAAAATTAACTTGTGCAGCTCTTTCTTTTCTTTCTTTCTCTCTCTCTTTCTCTTCTTATCTTTTTTTTTTTTTTTTGACGGAGTCTTGCTCTTGTTGCCCAGGCTGGAGTGCAATGGCATGATTTCGGCTCACTGCATCCTCTGCCTCCCAGGTTCAAGCGATTCTCCTGTCTCAGCCTCCCGAGTACCTGGGATTACAGACATGTGCCACCATGCCCAGCTACTTTTTGTACTTTTAGTAGAGACGGGGTTTCGCCATGTTAGCCAGGCTGGTCTTGAACTCCTGACCTCAGGTGATCTGCCCGCCTCGGCCTCCCAAAGTGCTGGGATTACCGGCGTGAGCCACCGCACCTGGCCTGTGCAGCCATTTTTATAGTTCTCACACTGACTTCATTTGACTCTCAACTCCCAGCAGGTCCTCGAGTGATCATGCTTGTGTTGGCTCCTGGTCTCCAGTGCTCATGTTGCTCCCTCCCACCCACCAAGTTTACCCTTCAGACTCCTTCACTCCTACTTATTCAACCTTTAAATCTCACCTCCTCCAGGAAGTCTTCCTCGATGCACCTTCTCTCCCTAGTTGTGTAAAATGCCCTTCCCGTGTGCTCTCAAAGCACTACCACTATTTTGGCACTAACCGCACTACTTAATAATCCTCTGCTTGTCTGTAACCCTCACTCAACAGTGACTGCAAGAGCCGAGCTTTAATCTGCAATGCTGCCTGCTAGAACACTAGCCCTGTGTCTGGCGACTACCTGAATTATCAGCTGGGTGGATGATATGGTTTGGCTGTGTCCCCACCCAAATCTCATCTTGAATTGTAGCTCCCATAATTGCTACATGTTGTGGGAGGGACACAGTGGGAGTTAACTGAATCATGGGGGCAGGTTCCCCCTATACTGGTCTCATGATAGTGAATAAGTCTCATGAGATCTGATGGTTTTATAAGGGGAAACCCCTTTCACTTGGTTCTCATTCTCTCTCTTGCCTGCCACTGTGTAAGACGTCCCTTGCTCTTCCGCCATGATTGTGAGGCCTCCCCAGCCATGTGGAACTGTGAGTCAATTAAACCTCTTTCCTTTATAAATTACCCAGTCTCAGGTATGTCTTTATCAGCAGCGTGAAAATGGACTAATACAGTGGATGAAAGGAGTCTTAAGTCACTTAGACACTGCCATCAGAGCCTGCTCCCATCTAGGATCTCAAGTCCAAAGAAGAGGTTCCTGACTTGGTTTCTTTCAGACTCACCACCATCTGTGCACTTATCACAGCTCTAATGACCTCTTCCCACAGAGCTGGGAGCATAGGCTTTGGGCTGGATCCAAGATCATACCCTTTCCCTCTGGTTGTGTCTGCAGATAACACTTGACGCGCTGCGGAAGACCAGGTGGTAAACTCCCTACAGAGCTGTGGTTCAGGAGTGCAATGTTTACAGACTCTCTCTTTGCCCCAGCTCCAGCCCCAGCCCCAGCCCCAGCCAGCAGAGGAACAGGGCTGGAGCAGTGTACAGGAACCTGCTTGTCTTGACTTATGAGTGCTAGCTGCACCTACTCTCATGTTCTTAGTACCCACAAAACAATCCATCTGCTCTCTCCATTCCCACCGCAACTGTCCTAGAGATCAGAGCCCCATCCATCATGTTTTTGCCTGGGATGGGGCAATGTCCTTTTTTTTTTTTGGACGGAGTCTCACTCTGTCACCCAGGCTGGAGTGCAGTGGCGTGATCTCGGCTCACTGCAAGCTCTGCCTCCCGGGTTCATGCCATTCTCCTGCCTCAGCCTCCTGAGTAGCTGGGACTACAGGCGCCCACTACAGGCGCCCACCACCAAGCTCGGCTATTTTTTTGTATTTTTAGAGAGACAGGGTTTCACCGTGTTAGCCAGGATGGTCTCGATCTCCTGACCTCATGATCCGCCCACCTCAGCCTCCCAAAATGCTGGGATTACAGGCGTGAGCCACTGTGCTGGGCCGGGGCAATGTCCTTTAAGTGGTCCCTCCAGTTTTGTCTTTTTCATTTCATCCTCTACCTTGAGTGATTTTTCTCTAATATAAATCTGCCCATCACCAAAACCCTTCAGTGGCTCCTCACTGCCCTGAGGAGAAACTCCAAGCTTCTCAGCACAGTCAGGGCGCCTCCTGGTCAGCTTTGTTCCTAGCCATGCCCCCAACATGCCTGTGCTCTGGTACATGAACTTCCAGCATGTTCTCTTTTAACAGTTCACTTCTTCATCTGCTCTTCCCTTTACTTGGTGGTAATTCATTCTTACTTCTTAAATTTACTTAGTACATTCACTCAATAAATATTTATTAGGTGCTTATTATGTGCTTGGTTCTATCCTATGTTAGGACGGAGAACCTCAGAGGTGAACAGTACAAAGTCTTTAAGAGTCTTATGTTTTGGTATTACATTTATGAAAAAATGTAGGAAACGAACATATGAACCAGGTAATTGTAAACAGGAGTAGATGCTCTGACAAAAAGAAAACAGGGGCTGGGTGCAGTGGCTCATGCCTGTAATCCCAGCACTTTGGGAGGCTGAGGTGGGTGGATCACCTGAGGTCAGGAGTTCGAGACCAGCCTGGCCGACACAGCGAAAACCTGTCTCTACTAAAAATACAAAAAAAGTTAGCCGGGTATGGTGGCAGGCACCTCTGATTCCAGCTACTTGGGAGGCTGAGCCAAGAAGAATTGCTTGAATCTGGGAGGGAGAGGTTGCCATGAGCCGAGATCGCGGCACTGCACTCCAGCTGGGGCGACAGTGCGAGATTCCGTCTCAAAAAAAAAGCCAGGCGCGGTGGCTCATGCCTGTAATCCCAGCACTTTGGGAGGCCGAGGCAGGTGGATCATGAAAGGTGATCATGATCAAGACCATCCTGGCCAACATGGTGAAACCCTGTGTCTACTAAAAATACAAAAATTAGCTGGGCATGGTGGTGTGCACCTGTAGCCCTGGCTACTCAGGAAGCTGAAGCAGAATTGCTTGAACCGGAGAGGCGGAGGTTACAGTGAGCTGAGATCGCGCCACTGCACTCTAGCCTGGCGACAGAGCAAGACTCTGTCTCAAAAAAAAAAAAACAAAAAAAAAAAACACCAAACAAAAAGAAACAGGGCATGTCATAGACAGTGACTTAATGGATTACTTTGTGTGGGGGTAGGGGATTGCAAAGTTTCTGTGATGTCACAGCTGAGACATTTAAACACAGAGGGTCAGGGTGTTCCCGCCAGTGGGAATAGCAAGCACGAAAGCCCTATGGTGAGCCCAGAATGTAGAAAGCACAGAAAGGAGGTGGATGTGGCCCATGCATAGTGGTCAAGGGAGAGAGGGGAGAGAGACTGGGATGACAGCCATGGTGACTGCTTAGAGCAGGCTGCTTTCTCATTCATGGGCCTCCTGGGCCCAGACGGCCCTTCCTGTTGGCATCTCTAAGAGCTGTTAAGCTTCAGGCCACTTACATACAGGGGTGGGCTCAGTCTCTAAGTTCAACCCCCGTGAGCTACACGGCTCCTGGCAGATGGCCAGCATTCACGCATTCTTCCTGAGCAAATAAGTATGGTCACGGATTCCGAGAAAGACCACCGACGACTTCTTCACCTCGCCGATCCCCCCAGGGGAAGGAGATGGTAGGAAAAGCTGGTGAGTCACTCATAAAAGGAGTCTCATTTCTTATAACACTGAGCAGCAGCATGGCATGGGAATGCACTGATACAAATGATTAACTGACGGCTTCATCCTGCAAGGCTTTTTATGGGAGCCTTCTCCATGGAGGGGGGAAATAAACGAGGTAGGAGAACAGTTTCCATTTAACGTTTGCAAAAATGTGCCGAATGGGCACTCAAATCTTGATGATGATACATACTGATGTGAGCAAAGAGAACTGAAGGAAAAACTGAAAGAACAGTGTTTGTTGAGCCTCTAAGTGCTTCCCAGAATCTGAAAGAGTTCCAGTGCTTAATGGTTTTCTTTCCTTTATCACTAGATGCGAAGGAGGGCAGATGCTGAGAAGGCCTCTAGGGTGATGGGGAGAAGGGCCAGAGCCAGTGGCGATCCACTGTGACTTGGGGACCCAGTCACAGAGAGCAGGGGCGCACTGTGACCAGGGTCATCCTGATAAAAGGCCAGGCGAGTACATGCCTCTGGTCCTTCCACAGGTGCCCTTCCCTGCCATTGGGAGCCTAAAAGAATTCTCACTACATCCAAAATAACTATAAAAAATAACTATAAAAACAGCAGCAACAACAATAAATCAAAATTCTGAATCTGAAATCCAACATACAACCTCCTACCAATCTGGCTCCTGCCTACCTGAGCCCTCCCTCCCCACTAGCTCCTAGGCACACTGGCCATCCTTCTGTTCCACACCCCGAACCTGTCCTGCCTCAGGGCCTTTGCACCAGCTACTTCCTCTACCTGGAACGTGCTCCCTTTGCTCTTCTCTGGGAGGCTCATTCATGTCATTTAGGTTTCAGACTAAACGTCACCTCCTCATAGAAATCCTTAAACCAGTGGAGCTGCTCACTAATATATTGCTATGTAGCAGTTGCCACTGGCTGATCATTGTTTTCTGCGAGTTTAGTTATTAACTGTGTCTCCTCCACCAGAATATAAACATCATGAGATCAGGAACCAAAGTCCTTTTTCATCTACGAATACTTAGTGTGCAGAATAAGTAGAAGGTCCTCAGTAAATGTTTGCTGCCTAAAGGAATGAACCAGGTACTTCTGTGTCTAATACTAAGGGTCAAGGAAAGAGCAGAGTGCAAATATTGACTATGCATGTAACACAGGGCCAACACCAAGCTAGGTGCTTTGCATGCAACTTTTCAGCTACTGTCAAAACATCCCATGTAAGTTTGTTGTTATTGTTGTTGTTTTTGAGAGAGTCTCACTTTGTTGCCCAGGCTTGAGTGTAGTGGCATGATCTCGGCTCACTGTAACCTCCGCCTCCCGGGTTCAAGCAATTCTCCTACCTCAGCCTCCCGAGTAGCTGGGATTATAGGTGCCTGCCACCATGCCTGGTAATTTTTGTATTTTTAGTAGAGATGGGGTTTCACCATGTTAGCCAGGCTTGTCTTAAACTCCTGACCTCAAGTGATCCGCCTGCCTCAGCCTCCTAAAGTGCTGAGATTACAGGTGTGAGCCACCGCGCCTGGCCCCACAAAAGTTTTTATTCTCCATTTGACAGTTGAAGAAAATGAAGCACAGAGGTTGAGTCACTTATCTGAGATCACACAGGTAGTAACTGGAAGGAATTAAAGCCAAACCCAGGTCAGCCTGACTCCCCATGCCCTGCTTTTTCTGTTAAAGTGCCTCTTCTCTATATCCTAAGAAACTCACAACCAGTCTCAACGTTGCTCCTTGTTTCCTGTGGGGCCATGGGCAACCTGCCTAATCTCTCTGTGCCTCAACTTACTCAACTCTAAAAAGTCGGTTCTGGCCGGGCGCGGTGGCTCACACCTGTAATTCCAGCACTTTGGGAGGCCAAGGCAGGCGGATCACGAGGTCAGGAGATCGAGACCATCCTGGCTAACACGGTGAAACCCCATCTCTACTAAAAATACAAAAAATTAGCCGGGTGTGGTGGTGCATGCCTGTAATCCCAATTACTTGGGAGGCTGAGGCGGGAGAATCGCTTGAACCCGGGAGGCAGAGGTTGCAGTGAGCCAAGATCACGCCACTGCACTCCAGCCTGGGTGACAGAGTGAAACTCTGTCAAAAAAAAAAAAAAAAGTGGGTTTCTATGAACATCAAATGAGATACAGCATATGAACAAATTATAAGTGGTGAAGAGACAGAGAAACAGGAATAGCTATAGTAGACTGTAGCTATGGCGGTGACTTAGTACCTACCTAACACTGTCTTCACCCATGCTCACCCTAAAGGAGCCAGTTACTTGTGAAAAGCTCTTTTTGTGTTTCCCCATGCACTGACTACACTGAATCCAGGGTCTCCCATGTGGGTATCATGTCCACAAAAACATTGGTGTTTCCTGGCTATGAGAGACACTTGATCTTTCCTTTCACTGGTGGTTTTGTTCATTCTGTTTCCTCTGCTTGGAAACTCACTTCTGACTTCACCTCGTCTGGACCAAACATACCCTGTCTGCATCCACAATGATGAGCATGCAAAGGACCCGCTGATGTACCTCTCTCCCCGACTAGATGGTGGACCCTGGGCACCGATGGCGTTGTGTTCACCTAGGTCCTGCCATGAGCCTGACATAGAGCCTGGCATGGGGGAGGTCCTTGATGGATGAGCAGAGAAGCCGCCCCTTCCCTGCCCAGCCTTGCGAGCCACTTACGTTTTCACTGTTGACATCAGCCTCACTGGGGCAGCCAAACAGTTCCCGCCTCAGAAGATTGCCGTCATACTCCAGGAAGGTCAGGTAGAGGTTGCGAAAAAACTCCACATGCTTGTTCTTCACCCGGAGCTTCTTGGGGGAGTTCCAGTGAATGACCTGGCAGGGAGATAAGGAAGTGGTCAGGTATGGCAGGGGTGGGGTGGGGATCCCTCACACCTGTAGGAAGCCATGGCTCAGCACTGGGCTAAGCATTATTTGAGGGTCTGCTCATTCGCTCATTCAACATTTTGGCAGAGTGGTTAAGGGTAGGGGCTCGGGGGCCAGGTCACCTGGGATCAAACCCTGCCTCTGCTCTAGGTAGTCCTTTAATCTCACACAAGTGACTGAATCTCTGTGCCTCAGTTTCCTCATCTGTGAAATGGGAATAATCTGTGCCAGTTATTACATTGTCATCTCTCAGCCCTAAGATGTGATGCTTAGGCCACGACTCTACAAACCCTAATTCTGCTTGGCCACCTGCTGCCTGTAGGTGCCACCCAGAGGGAGCATGACTGGGACATGAAGGGTCTGGAAGGGGAGAAAGGCGCTTGCTCCTCCTGTTGCTTCCTGTCCCTGTGGGCATCACCCTAGTCCCATTTTTTCAGCCCAGCAGTGGCACCTCCTTCCTTTAGCAGCAGCTACATCCATTCTGCAGTTTTTCCCACACTCAGAACACGCTTCGCTGTCCCTACTTCTCGGCCCAGTGATGCTGCCTCTGGAATCGGTTGGTGATGCCATCCTAGAGGTCTGGGTCCTGGCCCCAGGTTTTAATCATTCCTACCTCCTCCTCCTATTTCTTCAGCTCTAGGGTAGTGCTTCCTGTACCAAGTGAACACTTTATGCCTTATAACTATTTTTAAAGATTAAATTCTCTGTTCAAATAATTGCTGTGGTTTCTGCCTCCAGCTAGGACGTTGAATGATACACTGTCTCATAAAGCTTTTTTGAAAAATAAACAAGTTCATGCCTATAAAGCATGTAAATAATGCCTAGCACATGGTAAGTGCTCAGTAGATGCTGGTTCTGACTACTGAGTGCCTAGAGTATAGAGGGCTGGGAAGCAGCCAGAGACATAGGACACTGGGTCCCTCCCTTGGCACACTCATGGTCAGTTGGGGAAAAGTGTCCACAAACAGGTAATTTGAATGTGATAATGGAGAGACGATCAAGAATAAATGAGAGGCCGGGTGCGGTGGCTCATGCCTGTAATGCCAGCACTTTGGGAGGCTGAGGTGGGCAGATCACCTGAGGTCAGGAGTTCAAGACCAGCCTGGCCAACATGGTGAAACCCTGTCTCCACCAAAAATATAAAAATTAGCTGGGCGTGGTGGCAGGTGCTTGTAATCCCAGCTACTCAGGAGGCTGAGGCAAGAGAATCACCTGAACCCAGGAGGTGGAGGTTGCGGTGGGCCGAGATTGCACCACTGCACTCCAGCCTGGGCAACAAAGCGAGACTCCGTCTCAAAAAATAAAAAAAAAAAAAAAAAAAGAAGAAGAAGAAATGAGAGCTGAAGAATGATCAGAGAAGCATCAAAGAAGAAGATGCTTGTGCTGGAGCTTGAGGGAGACAGGGCCTGGGACAGAGGGAAGATGTGTTGTGTTGGGGTGGGGTGGCTCATTTGGAGCATGAGAACTCAAGTGCTCTAGCTGGAGCACAAGGGGCGGAAAGATATGGGGTCTTTCCGCACAAGGGGCGGAAAAATGTTGGTAGTGGCGTCGTGGGGTCATGCCCTGGACCTGAGAGGCCCATGGTCAGCACTCAGACTGTAGGTACTGCAGATTTTCAGCAGGAGGAACATCCGTAACTCTAGGTTTCAGAAAGATCACTCTATTCATAATGAAGAAGATGCAAGTCGCAGGATGGGAGATGCAAAACTAGAGCCTAGGATGATGGTTAAGAGTCCGCTGTAACTTCCAGCCGAGACAGAAGGCCTTGTAGACAGTTTGATTGGAGAGACAAGATATGCACAAGAAAAAAAAATCTGGGAAAAGCAATAAAATATTTATAAAATATTTATTTGTTTATGACATGGTCATAACAAAGTGCACTCTTGGCTCACTGCAGCCTTGACCTCCTGGGCTCAGGTGATCCTCCCACCTCAGCCCTCTGAATAGCTGGGACCAGGCACATGCCACTATGCACAGCTAAGTTTTTGTATTTTGTAGAGATGGGGTTTTGCCATGTTGCCCAGGCTGGTCTCAAACTCCTGGGCTCAAGTGATCCTCCCACCTTGGCCTCCCAAAGTTCTGGGATTACAGGTGTGAGCTACCACGCCTGGCCTAGAATATTTAATAGTACTAAAATTTATTCTAAGAAAGCACCTTAATTTATTATTAATATCTGGTGGCATTCATTGTTAGTATTAAAAATGATTCATTATTACTATAGAATAACCATGATCAGCAAGACATAATTTGTATTAGTTTATTTAATACGCACAACAGGCCTATGGGGCAGCATGATTATTAACTCCATTTTACAGATGGGGAAGTAGAGGCACAGAAAGACTCTGTAATTTGCCTGTGGTCACAGAAAAGTAGGCTTGGAACCTCTGAAGCCTGGTTCCAGAGTCCACCTGCTTAACTACTCACTGGGCTTGCACTGTGTCTGAGATCAGCACACAGGGACCCAGGAGACTGATGGCTGGGCCAATCAGATGGCCTCTCACAGTTGAGCCACATAAGCTGAACCCTGAATGATGGGTGGAGGCAGAGGGTCCAAGGGGACAGGTTGAGTCCAGGTGAGGGAAATCACACACCATCAAAAACAGCTAAGCCAGGGAAAGACCCCATGAGGACTGCACTGTGAGGTGGCCCTGGTCATATATGATCATATTCTCAATGCTCCTTGGCAGACACCAAGGCAAGGCTCAGCCCAGTGCAACGGCATGAATACCTGAGCACAGTCCCCAGAGAACCCTCCATGGGACACCTGTGACGGGAAAGGGAAGCCTGTACTGAGTGGCCACTGCTCATGCCCTTGACTGGGAGCCTTCTCCTGGGGGGCTCACCCATGGGTTGAACACTTCACCAGCAGTTTTACATTCATTGGCTTCTTTTAGTCCTCACAATGACCCTAGCAAGGCATGCAATCGTAAAGGGGAAGAAACAGTGAAGAAGTGACTTGCCTATGGCCACCTTGCTGGTAAACATGGGAGCTAGGCTTCAAACACAAGCATGTCTGATTCCCAAGCCCACATTCTTTCCTATACACTGTGGAGGACAGAAGCCAAGCTTTTAAAACATTCTGTTTCATGCTTTGTCTGATTATAGAGGAAATGAAATAGCTTTTCCCTCAATAGCCCCCTACTACCTTTACTCTCTCCTCCTGTGGGGGTTGAACAGTATATCAAATGTAATGGACTATCTCCCATTCCCCCACAAAATTCACATGTGGAAAGCCTAATCGCCAAGGTGATGACATTAGGAGGTGGGATCTTCGAGAAGTCATTAGGTCACAAGGGAAGAACCCTCGTGAGTGGATTAGCGCCCTTAGAAAAGACACCCCAAAGTGCTCCCTTGCTTGCTTCCACCATGTGAAGACAGATGGAAAAGGTGCTGACTATGAACCGAAAGGCATGCCCTCACCAGACACCAAATCTGCCAGCGCCCTAACCTTGGACTTCCCAGCCTCCAGAAACTGAGAAATAAACATCAAGCAGCCAGACTGGACTACGACACTGAGGGAAGGAACTGGGTATCCACAGCTCAGTCACTTCTTGTTTCCCTCCTTTGGTTGGGTTCCATCTATGAGAGTCTGCAGCAGGGTCCAGAGCCTGCCATCTGAAGAGAGGACTGGAAGACCCAGCTCCCTCTGTCCTCTATTTTGGCAATGTGCAATAGCAATACCCATTGAAGTTGGCTGGATAAATACTGCTCTAGAAGACCAGTTTTCTCTCTCATGGCACAGTGAATTATGGGGAAACCTATTTGGTCCAAACCACATCCCCACGAACTCCCATAACCAACAACGAATGATACAGTAGCCAGAGTAAGAACTATGAACCTCAGACCAGCCGAGGTCTGAATTCCAGCTATGCTCTTTACTTAGCTGTGTGTGTCCTTGAACAACTCGTTTCTCTTCTTGGAACCTGTTTCCTCAAGTGCAAGGTGGGGATCAGCAAGTAGGTAAGAGGGTTAAACAAATGCCTAGCTCAGTGCTTCCATGTTAGAGTGGTTCCATAAGTGTGGGTTTCCTACCCTCTCAAAGATGGGGCAGGGAAGGAGTTCTGCCCTCCTTTCTCCTTCCTGCCGCCATCAGTCAGAAAGCAAGCACTCCGCATTCAGGAGAGTAGAGACGGCTGGCAGGGATGAAACTATTCGATGAGGCTTACATTTCAGGGACGTATGAGTGTGCAATATGTGCTTTTCTTCTTGTGCCTTTTGAAGGGTAGGAGAGGGAAGACTCTCCCCTGAGAACACATTTGATCTGGGCATAAGATCCTGGGCCATGCATTAAAATAATTGCATGTGGGCTGGTGTCACTCACACCCAGTGGGGGGATCGTGTCGTCTTTGCGAATGATTCCGGTGCTTGCCAAGTGCTGAGCCAGCAGGAAGGTTGATGGATGTGGATCTGACTGAGGAAATGTTAAGCTTCTTCAACAGGGAGAAACTTAAACTAAGTGAAAAGAAGGGCTGGCCTATGGACCCCGCAAACAAAGCTTAATGGATTGTGCACAAATCTGCCAGGTACTTAAGAGACATGGTCTCATTAAATCCTCCAAACAAGCCCATTTGAATCCCACTGTCCACTTTATGGAGATGGTATGTGACTTGCCTGTATCTCACAGCTGGTAAGTTGCAGTGCTGAGACTGGAAGTCAACTCTGAAGCCCAAACCTGAGGTTCTTAACTACTATTATATCTAGTCCTAAAGGGCTGAGCATTTTACAGATGAGGAGAGTGAAATTTACAGAGAAATGAGTCTGCCCAACATCACATGGTGAGTCTGTGCCAAGTCAGGGTTGGGACTAGGACCCAGGTCTCCTGGTGCCCCACAACCCACCGCAAGCCGTCTGTTAGCTCATCAAGCCTCATCCCGCTCTGCATCTGTCTAGTTTGTGTATTCACTACAGGCAAGTGCTGGTGTTACATAAGAAGGAAGATGGGGGAGTGGATGGCGAGGTCTTAGGCAAGCAAAGGCGGTTCTGAAGAGTGCTTTCCCATCCAGCTCCCTCTGATCGGCAAGCCCATCCAAAAATCTGTTAAGGTATATTCAGGTTTACATTTTGCACCTGAGTTTTTAATCATCAGGACATAGAATACTCCATTACCTTGTGCTAGGATCTAAATAAATAATATTTAGTTTGGTACAAAAAGTACTTGCGGTTTTCGCCATTAAAAATTGCAAAAACTGCAATTACTTTTGCACCAACCTAAATAGCTACCATGTATTCAATACCCATTATATGCTAGACATTAGGCTGGTGTTTTTTGTTTGTTTGTTTGTTTGTTGTTTTAGAGACAGGGTCTATGCTGTATCACCCAGGCTGGAGTACAGTGGTGCAATCTGGGCTCACTGCAGCCTCAATCTCCCAGACTCAAGTGATCCTTCCCCTGAGTGGCTGGGACTACAGGCACACACCACCATGTCCAGCTAATTTTGTTTATTTTTTGTAGAGCTTAGGTCTCACTATGTTGTCCAGGCTGGTCTCAAACTCCTAAACTGAAGTGAGCCTCCTGCCTCAGCCTCCCAAACGGCTAGGATTACAGCACTTTGAGCATCTGCATCCGGCCAGGCCAGGGTTTTTTATGTATGTATGTATCCATATATATATATGATATTAAATACATAATACCTATTATTTACTTCTCTACATTGAATGTGATCATGGGATTATAGAGGAAACAAAATAGCTCTCACGTTTCCTCAGTAGCCCCCTACTGTCCTTACTCTCTCCTGCAGGGGTTGAATAGCTTAGTAGATGTAATGGACTGTCTCCCACTCTCCCTCAAAATTCATGAATGTGATTGTGGGATCACATTCAATCAAAACAACCTGGTATGGTGATTTCTATTATTATCTTCATTTTACAGAGGATGAGTCTGAGCCTCAGACTAGCCCAGGGTCACTAAGTGAGTACATGCTCAAGCTTAAAACAAAATCAGATCTGTCTTGCTCAGTATATTAGTCAGGGTTCTCTAGAGGGACGGAACTAATAGGGTAGATATATAAAGGAGTTTATTAAGTCTTAACTTACACGATCACAAGGTCCCACAATAGGCTGTCTGCAAGCTGAGGAGCAAAGAGAGCCAGTCCAAGTCCCAAAACTGAGTCTGATGTTTGAGGGCAGGAAGCATCCAGCACGGGAGAAAGAGGTGGGCTGGGAGGCTAGGCCAGTCTCTCCTTTTCACATTTTTCTGCCTGCTTTATATTTGCTGGCAGCTGATTAGATGTTGCCCACCAGATTAAGGGTGGATTTGCCTTCTCCAGCCCACTGACTCAAATGTTAATCTCTTTTGGCAATACCCTCACAGACACACCTGGGATCAATACTCTGTATCCTTCAATCCAATCAAGTTGACACTCAGTTTTAACCATCACACTCAGAAATGATTTTCTTTCTATTATATCTCATTTATTTATTCAACAGATAGTAAGATGAGCACTGATTTTGTGCCAGACACTGATCTGGGGGCTGTGAATGCAGAGATACACACAAGAGACCATACTCTCTTCCTGAAACTTACAACTTAGATAGAGAGGAAGGTATCACAAAACTGTCCATTTTAAACTACAAGTATGATAACGTGCATTTAAAGAGGCTGTTGGTGATTTTTCCTGGGAAGGGCGCATTAAGTGGAAAGAAACCAAGACCCAGAGTCGGAAAGTGACTTACCGAGAGTCACACAGCAGAGGTAGAAGTAGAGGCCAGCTTCTGTCTCCTGGGCCACTGCTCTTTCCACTAAACCACATCTCTCACTCTGAAAATCTGACTCAGGATCTGTGTTGCTGATATATATATATATTTTTATCAGTGCTTGTCTGACTACTAAGAAATGTTACGTCTTGGTCCCTTGAGGGAAAGAATCACCCATCATTGTTGGCTTGGGGGCAGCAAGCTGGTGACTGCTAAAGAATGTCTTGTCCTGGTCCCTTGAGGGAAAGGATCACCCATCATTGTTGGCTTGGGGGCAGCAAGCTGGTGACTGCTAAAGAATGTCTTGTCCTGGTCCCTTGAGGGAAAGGATCAGCCATCATTGCTGGCTTGGGGGCAGGAAAAGCTGGTGGTGTAGGCATTTATTGACAGGCTTTCACATCTGAGACAGAGTGACACTGGAGAATGCACCCAAAATAGATTTTTGTAAGGAGCTGATAAGTGCATGTGGATCTACAAGGATTGTGATGAAAATCTGTGATAACTTGTTCCACTTTCTGAGGCACATTATCAAGTAGTAATAATAATAATTATTATTAGCAGCTAACATGTATCAGACACTTACTGTATGCCAGGCACTGCTCTGAAAACTTTGCTTCTGATAGCTCATTTACTCTTTACACAACTCTATGAGACAAGTGATGCTCTTACTATGTTACCTGTCAGATGAGAAAAGTTTAGCACGTTGCCTGAAGTTACACAGCTAGAAAGTAGGAGAGTCAGGATTTGAACCCAAGCAGATAGAAAAATTAGAATTCTGTGTCCCTTATTTCTCCCATATCTGTCATCATTAAATGAACATGAGATTGACAAAAGATGACAGGATCAGAAATGAAACCTACTTTCCCCTTCTAATACCCACCCCTGGGATACTAAGGCTGCAGGATGATTTAGGATTTCCCAGATACACAGGCAGAGCCTCCAGTCTGGCAGGAAGCAGAGAGAGGGAGGCATGGAAGTTGCATGCCAGGTGGGCTGCAGGAGCTGCCAAGCATCAGGGGCCCCATGGGTGTGATCTGATTGGATCTGAAATGCCTATAAAGGCTGAGTATATGTGCCGACTTGGAGTCGGCCTCTACTGAGCCAGAGAAAATTGACAGAAATTGATTACTGTCCAGGAAACTTAAACATCATCTGGGAAGGCAGCAGAAGTCCATGTGATTAAAGGAGACACGAGAAACTCTATCACCCATCAAGGGCACAGAAGAAAGCAGTTCAAAGGCAGAAACAAGACCTCAGTGCAAGGACAAGGCTGTGGAAAGAGTCCAGCCAATACTTCTGATGCACTTAGACCCCAGAGGGTTCATAAAAGTAATTAATGGTGCAAAACAGTGAAGAAATCAGAGCCTGTGTGCAAATGGCCAGGTGAATAAGAACATGGATCTTATCTCTTCCAAGTTACTGGGATAAGAGGCATTAGAAAATGGGTCTCCATCTCAACACTCCAACTGACCTTCTATGACCCACAGAATAACACCTAGCCTGATAGGTAGGCCTGATGCAAACTGCCTCCCACTTATGATTCCAGCTCTATATCCAGGCTAAAAGGCAATCCTAGTATTTCTTAAACCTGTCTCTCATGATGCTGTGCCTTTCCCTGTGCTCTCCCCCTTGCTAGAATGTCCTTATTTTCTCTCTACAATACCCTACCTTCTTTTCTCTTCCTTTCTTCCTTCCTTCCTTCCTTCCTCTCTTCTCTCTCTCTCTCTTTCTTTCCTCCTCCTCCTCCTCCTTCTTCTTTTTCTTTTTTTTTTCTGAGACAGAGTCTCAATCTTGTCACCCAGGCTGGAGTGCAATGATGCGATCTCAGCTCACTGCAATCTCCACCTCCCCGGTTTAAGCGATTCTCCCGCCTCAGCCTCCCGAGTAGCTGGGACTACAGGCATGCGCCGCCACGCCTGGCTATGTTTTGTATTTTTAGTAGAGACGAGGTTTCGCCATGTTGTCCAGTCTGGTCTCAAACTCCTGACCTCAGTTGATCTGCCCACCTCGGCCTCCTAAAGTGCTGGGATTACAGGCATGAGCCTCCGCGCCTGGCCTCCTACCTTCTTTTCTACCAATGCCAGCTCATCCTTCATGGCTGAGCTCAAATGCACATGTTCTGCAAAGCTTTTCCTGAACACTCACATTGACACCTCCTTGTGTGTCTCCCCCTCCACCCCATTCTTCCTAACAGAACACTAACTTTGTTTGTAGTTGCAATGTCCCCTGCCCCTGTGAATGGATCATGACCCAAGATCCAAGCCAATCATGATGATCCAAGTCTCTGATTTCCCAGACTACCTTGCAGCCAGGGGTGGCCACGTGACCTAGGAATGCCCAAAAAGTTACATAGGGAAGCATTCGATTTCCTAATAAAAAGGTTCACATATGGCTAGTGTCCTCTTCTCACTTCACTCACCTTTCTATCGTAAACAGAGATGTGATGACTAGAACCATGACAGCCATCTTGTGACCATGAGAGGTCAACACATTGCTCTCCTATGAGCCAGTGTCTGTGTTTGCTTACTCTAGAGTTCTCAGGTAAGAAATTCAAACCCCCTACTTTATTTTAAGCCACTGCATATTGAGTTTTCTGATTCTCATTGTAAGCATTCCTAACATAACACCCTAGGCAATTGCTAGGTCCTTCTTCAGTGCTCTACAGGCTCTTGCAGGTAGCTCTATTAGAGAACTCATTGCATGCTTCTTGTAATTATTTATTTACATGCCTGCACCTGGCAGCATTGGGATGTGAATTTCCAGGCTGGTAAAGAACTTGACTTATTATTCTTTTGGAGTGCCACAGTGCTTGGCACGCAGTTAGTATTCAGTAGCTGCCCTTTGGTTCAAGAATGGAAATCATGATGATGACATTCTCAATAATCCTCACATTTTGTCTGTCTACAGTAAATCAGTGATAAAAGCTCTACTAATGTGGGATTTGGAATGGAGAAACATATTCCCCTTTTCTTTGTCTAAGGGACAAAGAGCTTGTCATTTTTTCTTGAAGGAGTTTAAGCTCCCGCTGTTATCCCCTTGTTTGGATTTTCAAAGAGAAGGACAATATTTTCACAAGTCCTTTTCCTTGTCATCTTCGGGATTATGACACATGAGAGAAAAGGAGGAGCAGACAAACCTACAAGCCAGACCCAGCTCCAGCTCTGAGCTGCACTTAGTTGCTATGTAACCTGCACCTAGTTGCCTAATATCACAGAGACAGCCCCTCATCTGTAGAAGGGGTGTTTGAACCTAAGTACTTTGCAAAGAACCACAAGTACTTTGCAAAGTTGTGGTCAATATCAGGACAGATGAAATGATGGAGATAAAGGTATATTGCATGTGTTCATTCAGTTATAAAAGACATCTGGTTTAGACTTCATGAAAGAGTCACCTTACCAATGAAGAAGGCTGGATGAAAACAGAACCTCTATGGGGGAAGGAGGAGTAAGAAACAAGATTTTAAATATGGGGCTGCAGATTGTCACACAACCTGAGGGGCAAGGACAGGGAAGGTACAGACAACACAGCCCAGAGAGGAAGCCAGGCCAAGGGCAGGTCCTCCTGGCTAGACTTCAAGGAGTGACCCGAAAAGGGGACTATTCTGAAACACAGGCACTTTAAATTGGGTTTAAAGTACTGGGCAGATGGGAGGTGGAGGTTGCGATGAGCCAAGATTGCTCCACTGCACCCCAGCCTGGGCAACAGAGTGAGACTCTGTCCCCGCTCCCCCACCCACCCCCCCCCAAAAAAAAAGTACTAGGCAGAGATCAAGAGTGCTGTTGGGCAGGGGCAAGGCACTGATCTGGTAAGACTTAGGTTCAAACCATTGCCTTTTCTGTTACTCCAAACTACCTACTATATTTGAACCTCTATTTTCCAACCTCTTAAAATAAAATAATAATACCTGCTGCATAGGATCAATGAAACAAAAGCTGTAATGGCATTGTAGTAGGTAATTTTATGTGTCAACTTGACTGGATCATGGTGTGCCCTGATATTTGGTGAAACAATTATTTCTAGGTGTGTTTGTGAGGGTGTTTGCAAATGAGATTAGCATCTGAATCAGTGGACTCAGCAAAGCAAATGGCTCTTCCCAGTACAGGGAGCCATCGTCCAATCCATTGAGGCCCTGATAGAACAAAAAACTGAGGAAGGAGAAATTTGCTTTTTGTTTTTTTTTTTGGCTCACTATTTGAGCTGGGACATCAGTCTTCTCCTCCTTTCAGACTGGAACCGATATGGTTTGGCTGTGTCCCCACCCAAATCTCATCTTGAATTGTAGTGCCCATAATCTCCAGGTGTTGTGGGAGGGGCTTGGTGGGAGGTAATTTAGTCATCGGGGTGGGTTTTTCCTGTGCTGTTCTCTTGATTATGAATAAGTCTCACAAAATCTGATGGTTTTATAAAGAGCAGTTTCCCTGCACATGCCCTCTTGCCTGCCGCCATGTAAGACATGCTTTTGCTCCTCCTTCGTCTTCTGCCATGATTGTGAGGCCTCCACCTAGCTAGGTGGAACTGTGAGTCCATTAAACCTCTTTTTCTTTATAAATCACCCAGTCTCAGATATTTCTTCATAGAAGTATGAAGATGGACGAATACAGGGATTTAACCATCAGCTTCCTTGGTTCTCAGGCCTTCAGACTCAGATTGAATTATAACACTGGCTTTCCTGGGAATCCAGCTTGTAGATGGCAGATGGTGGGCCTTCTCTGCCTCCATAACCCATGGGTCAATTCTCATAATTAGTATCTTCAGATACATATACATTCTATTTCCTATTGGTTCTGTTTCTCTGGAGAATCTAATATAGGTGTTCACCATGGAGCCTGCAGCAGATCCATGCTCAGTGCTTGTGATGTGAATCAAGTCTGTGGAATATACACGCTCCATTCCCACATGATTCTCTCTGAGGGAGGCTCAGCACTAGCTAAAGTGACACTGTCCAACATCCCGGACTGCTGGATCCTTCAATGCAAGAGCTGTGTTCTATCCAACTTTGCATGCAAAAGGAGGCTTGGTCAATGTTTGTTGACTCCCCATGGATTGTATCTCAGCTTTTTTATGCTCCCCATGAGCTGCTGAAGCTTCCCTTTCATCCCCCTTCCTTTTCCTTTCCAATTCCTGACAATTATCAGGTACTGCTATTAAATAAAAATTAAATAAAAATGGTGCCCTTTATACCAAGACATCTCTTTCAGCCATGGAAGTTTTGCCACAGTGCAGTCTAGGGTCCTGGTACTCATAACTCTTTGGCTCCTGTCACACAGATTCCTATTGCCTTTTGGTTTTTAGGAGTCTCAGCCAAAAAAGAAAAGAAAAATTTCTTCCCAGACAAAAACACATCATTATCCAGGAAAGGGGAAGAAAAGAGACCCAACTCATTGATGACTTAGTCCTCTCACTTGGAAAATGTAGACACTTAGGCCAATGCATGAATCCCAGGCCTTGTCTTATATCCTATCATTGCTTATTCTGTTCTCTGTAACATTTCTTATTTTTCCCTGCCCAAGGAGGTAGAGGCTAAGGAGGGGATAAAAGGACAACAGGAAAATGAAGACTTTTCACAATACTCAGGGCTGGGAAGGTCATGAATCCATGAGACAATTCAGCTGTATTTTCTCTAATGTTCATCATGTTCAATGTGTTGGGTTCCTTTATGCTATAAAATGGGGGTAAAAACCAATTTGAACTGGATTCTGTTACATGCAAAGAATTCCTGATGCTGTCTTGATAGCAGGACATGAAAAAAGATGCAAACAGTGTTAAGTGTCCTCAATGACTGCTGCCTTTATGCGACTTCCCTGCAGACAACCCACACAAGACCAGGAGTGATAACCAGCCCGTATTCTTCCTGTCTCTATGGAATTAATTACTAAGACTGTATTCACATTTTAGCCTCCCCACAGTGTCCTCCTCGGGGGTGTGACTGGAGGACAGGCAGGCTAGAAGGAAGCAGATCCCACCTCTAGAGGTTGGCATGGGATCCTTAGCTGAGGAATTTGACCAAGGTGGGTGGAGGAGCAGCTGGCTTGAGTCCCGTGGGATGTTGCTAACTTGGCCGAATTTCAGTCATGCCCTTGGGGGTGGGCACCGTAGGATTCGCTGCTTGGAAACCCTGGGAGAGGCAGCTGTGCTTCCTGGTTCCCAGCAGGCACCTTCCGTGAGGCCCACTATTGCTCTTTTGTCTGCCCCGCATCACCGCCCTTTGCAGAAGTAGATCAGGCCTTCTTCCCATGACTCTAATGGGGCTGTCAGTCATGCCTGACCAGCCAGAAGCCCAGACACGGACTCCAGCTGACCAGTGAGTCATTCCTGACCATTCCTAAGAACACAGGGATGGGTTCTTGCATGGATACCTGTCCCATGAAGGGTCAACAGAGTCCTTTTGAGGAGACATTAAGAGAAAAGGGGCTTCTCTCTTCAATTTGGGTTCATGAGTGCTAGTCACTCTTCCATTAGCCTTAGATTTCTTTATGTTTTCATTGCACGTTTTGCCTGAAATGACAATTGATCATTTGTTTTCTTGTGTGATAGCTGTATTCTGCACTAGAATGTAAGTTCAAGAAGAGCAAAGGCCTGCACTGTCTTGTTCACTATTGTGTAACCAGTGTCTAGCTCATAGCAAGTGTGCAATTAATATCTGTTGAATGACTAAGCTCTACCTACTGGCTGGAGGCCTCAGGAAGCCACCCTGCCATAACAGAGAAAAGCAAAGGCAGAGAGGGAGAGAGGGGAGAGGCTAAGTCATGTGAGCACCCATATGTAGCTGCATCAATGCAGAAGGCATGATATGGTGGCATGGCGCTCTCAAATATTGAGGTGTTCTGGGGTTTAAATGAATCTGGCAAAGTCTTCTGTCAACCAACCATACTATTACTTATTTTTAGTGCATTTCATAATATTATTTTATAATTACTAATATTGAATTAAAATAACCCTCACAAAATGAATAATGCCTTAAAGAAGAGTCCTGCATTATAACCCAAAGTATAAAATAAATGAGTATATATAGACATAAATTATTTTTAAAATAAATAAATATAAATGAGAAAAAGTGACCAATCTTTAATTACAGAGAAATTCTAATAATATATGTAGATACTACTACCCCCTTTGCGAGGAGATGGATCTTAATCCCTCCACTTCCATTGCAGGGTAGATATAATGACTCACTTTCAAAAAATAAAGTATCAAAGGGAAAATTAGAAACTTTTTTTTTTTTTTGAGACAGAGTCACCCAGGCTGGTGTGCAGTGGTGCAATCTTGGCTCACTGCAACCGCCTCCTGGGTTCAAGCGATTCTCCTGCCTCAGCCTCCCGAGTAGCTGGGATTACATGTGCGCGCCACCACACCCAGCTAATTTTTGTATCTTTAGTAGAGATGGGGCTTCACCATGTTGGCCAAGATGGTCTAGATCTCTTGCGCTCATAATCCACCCGCCTCAGCCTCCCAAAGTGCTGGGATTACAGGCGTGAGCCCCCAAGGCCTGGCAAAAATTAGTAACTTTATAGTGGAGAAACCTAGCAAACATTGCCTTTACTACATAAGAATGGCTAACATCCCTAGTAATGTTATATGTGGGCATCATGTACCTCCTGACACAATGTGAGGAGGAGGGCACTTCACATCTGTGATAGTCTTTCCAAAAATCTATCCCCTCAGTCTAATCGTGAGAAAGTATACTAGACAAACCAACTTAAGGGACATTTTAGAAACTACCTGACCAGTACTCCACAAAACTATTGAGGTCAGTCACGAAAAACCAGGAAAGACTGTGACATTATGACAGACCCAAGGAGACTAAGGAAATAAAGCTTAAATGGAAACATTGAGTGAAATACAATGAAAGCTTGAAGTTTACTTGAAAAGCAATATATTGATGTTGGTTTGTCAGTTTTGATGAATGTACAACTGTTAGAAGATGCTGGCCAGGCATGGTGGCTCATGCCTGTAATCCCAGCACTCTGGGAGGCCGAGGTGGGCAGATCACCTGAGGTCAGGAGTTTAAGACCAGCCTGGCCAACACGGTGAAACCCCATCTCTACTTAAAAAAAAATACAAAAATTAGCCAGGTGTGGTAGCAGGCGCCTGTAATCCCAGCTACTTGGGAGACTGAGGCAGGGAGAGACTTGCTTGAACTTGGGAGGTGGAGGTTGCAGTGAGCTGAGATCACACCACTGCACTCCAGCCTGGGCGACAGAGCAAGACTCCATTCCCCGACCCCCACCAAAAAAAAGATGTTAATGTGAGGGGAAATTGAAACCGAATGACAGATATATACAAACTCTTTATGCTACCTTTTAAACTTTTAAGTCTAACATCCTTCCAAATAAAAGTTTATAATTAAAAAAGGGAGTTCTACAAAGGAGCTACAGATTGAGAATACCAATAAGACAAGCTGATGTGAATAGCAAGAAAACAGCTGAGCTGACACTTCTGTTCCCAGTATAAGCTCTTCCTTAGCTACATTACAAAGTAGAGAAATGACTCCCTAATTGGATCTGACAAGAAACTGGCAAAAAATGTAAATTTTCAAGACTATTTGAAATATGAATTTACAACCACTATCATTCAGGAAGAACTTCAAACTGTGTATTATGCCTTGATATATTACTTAATGTTAGTACAAAGATGTGTGATTAGCAAGACATTTAAAAACAAAGCATTCAGAATATGCAGATGAAGTCACCATAATTTCTGGATGATGTTTAAAGTCTTGTGAAAGTCGGTCTTAAGCTTGACAATGTTTCACTGAACTCTGTGAAAAGAGGTTAGAAGTTGCTTTAGAGATTTCTTTCATCAGAATAAAGGACAATAAAGTCCAGTAAGGAGAATACTTGTTTTTCTTTTTTTCTTTTTTTTTTTTTGCCTTGGCAAAAATGGCTGTAAAAATACACAAAGATAATATGGTAACAAAATGAAGTAAGTTCCTTTGTCAGCAAATATTGCAGGAAGAGTCAGAGAAAACCACGCTGAAGGATGGAAGCAACTAGTATTAGACTGAATTACATGGGAGATTTGCTATGGAATTAAATCAAAGTACAGAGTACTGTGTGTAGGCTTACGCTACGTGATAGATTCTGTTTAGAGAATGAAAGACAGAAAGAATGACTTTTTTTGTGAGCACTAAAGGAAAGCTGTCCTGCAGAGTTATACACTGAGCAGTAAATTCCTACTTTAATGATAACGATATTTTATGAAAAGAGAGTATGTGGAATCATTAGAGGTACAGTGCTTTAACTGGAATAACAAAAGAATTATGGAGTAAGGTCACAGAGTCAGCACCATGCAATGAATTCCTTGACTCCATCATTGCTAAGCAAGCCTGCAACAGAGTACCTGAGGCCAGCAGGCACAAGCGCTGCTAGATGCCATTGATTTAGATAATTTTATAAAGGCAAGACTAAAAATAGCATTACAATTGTACAATACTTTCTAATGACATGAGAGGTGGCAATGAAAATCTGTAACACACAGCTTTGCTGGCTAACTCAAAGCAAAGGACATGTAAGAGATGGCACACGTGAAGAAAGGATGGTTGCTGGTAGTATTCTATCTCACACTTTTGAAAACACACACACACTTTAAATCTGACCCTTCGGTGGAAAGGTGACAAATGAGAAAGTAAATATTGTGCTTTCAGACAGAAACTCTGAAACAGGATAGAGCTTTTAGAAAATAAATGTTTGAAATTGTTTCCATCGTTATGGGATTGTGAGGCCAAGAAATGATGTTACCTATCAAAGCCCTCATTTCTATATACTTAGAAAACTTCAAAATAGATTTAACTTTGAAAATTAACTTGCAAATAAAAAAAATTACAGTCTTCACTTAAGGTTGATAAGTTCTTGGAGGCTGCAACTTCAAGTGAAATTATATACACTATAAAGAAATCAATTTACCTTGTTAGTTGATATAAACAAGAATTAAGTTTCTATGGCACATAGTGTGTTGTTTCACTGAAAAGTCACAGTTTCCGTTAACCTATCGATGACATTAAGTGAGGACTTATTGTATGGTGGGTTTTGAATGTGTTATCAAAATGCTAAAGAATATTTAATAAATTATCAAAAGCAAATGATGGTCATCAAGAGAGACTTAAATATAATAGCTGAATGCTACAAATATTTTTGTATGACTTTTGGATTAAACTGAAACAATGAGTATAAAATGTATTCAGCCAGCCAATGATGTACTTTTTTTCCATTTGGATCTGTGAATTTTAGGAGGGATCCTTTTTGCAGTCATAGCCATTAAATTCTAGTATTTGTATAACATGCCCTTAAAACTAAGACTATGAAACACTGTGTCACAAAGTACTAAACCAACATTTCAAAAATAATGAAGCACATTCAATAATATTGCTATGTTTAAACATATGAATACTTATGTTTTTCATAAGAGCAAAAGGGTTTATTATTACTAAATTAACTTAAAATTACTCAAACATATAATAAAATGAAACTTTTCTGTTTTATAGTGTATTCATGTACCACAGTAAAAATATGTTTGCATTGGAATAGGTCAGATAAGAAGTATTTTAGTACTGTGACCCATAGTTTAAATTCCAAGCTCCTTAGTACACAGCCTGAACTCTCTGCTTATCTCCTTGTTATTTCTGGACACCATGATCTTTTAGGCCCCTGTGTTCATTCGTACTATCCCTTTTTATGTAGCACCTTCATTTCTGACCTGGATACCTCTAAGCAATATTGCACAGTATTGTTCACATTATGTGGAAATTAGCAGTTGAAACTTCTGTATCCCCTGTTTGTAAGGCTCTTTCAGGGCAGGAATTATGATGAACTTGTCTCTATATCCTCAACTTCACTAAGTGTCTTCAAACCCTTGCATACAACGGGCACTCAATACTGGGTAGCTTGCTAGGCTGAAATGTGTTTTGCAGCCCTTTCCTCAAGGATAGTTTGGATCTTCAAATGTACACCTGGATATGCTACCTGCCTGTCCCCTTCGTGATAACTGGAAAATTAAACCTTTGTCTCTTGCTCACCTTGGTTACTCTTCTCTGATCACGGCCAAGTTATGAACCCATGATCCATTCAATTTATGGTCTTTTCCAGAATCTCAAAAGTAGATCTTCTAACTCCTCCTGGACCACCCTTTCTCTGCCTAGCCCTCCGGCTTTCTGAGGCCCAGTGTTAATATCATGCACCTGAGCCTTCTATAGGGGAGGCTCTCAGTTAGTGGCTCAATGTCCATGGTCGCCAAATACTGCTTTACAATGGCGCTTCCTTTGCTCAAAATTGTGTTCTTCTTAATAGAGCCAGTATTTATGTAAGGAAGTGTGGGCTTCTAAGGAACTTGTCCTACCAGGCATTCTGTAATCAAAGGGGAGTCTTTCCTGTGTGTTGATATAAAATAGATGTGGGAAATGCTGGGGATCAACAAAATCAATCAGATTTTCTGGCTGCAGGACTTCCTAATACAGTATTTGGTATGTAGTACATAGAACTCCGCTCTCCCCATCCTCCTCCCCAGTTCCCCATTTTAAATAAGTCCAATTAACAGCTCTTAGAACTGTTTGGACATACACTCTGGAAAATGCTGTCATAGGGTAAAATTTCCAGAGACATCACTTTGCTTCTAGGAATCTTGTTGTTTCTAGCAATAACTGCATTGGAAGTTTATCAGCTATGTGTAAAAAGCCAATGAAGGACAACTGAAATCAATAAAACTCAAAAGAGTTCAGTTCTGAAAATTATCCAGGAGCAAAAAATGGATGAGTGCTGAGGGAAGACAACAGACTCAAGCTTAAGTCACCCAAGGTCCCGTCTGCTTAGCCTGCCATTCTCTGGCATGATCCAAGGACACATGATGTGAAGGTCAGGTACTATCCCAGCTGTGCCACCAACCGGTGTTTAACCTTAGGCAAGGTGTTTAACCTTTGTGTGTCTCTATTTCCCTTCTTTGAAATAAGAGAGTTGGCCGGGCGTGGTGGCTCATGCCTGTAATCCCAGCACTTTGGGAGGCTGAGGTGGGCGGATCACTTGAAGTCAGGAGTTTGACGCCAGCCTGGCCAACGTGGTAAGACCCATCTCTACTAAAAATACAAAAATTAACCAGCATGGTGGTGTGTGCCAGTAATCCCAGCTACTTGGGAGGCTGAGGCAGGAGAATTGCTTGAACCCAGGAGGCAGAGGTTGCAGTGAGCGGGGATCATGCCATTGCACTGTGCCTGGGCAATAGAGTGAGACTCCATATCAAAAAAGAAAAAGAAAAAAAGAAAAGAAAGAAAGAGAAGAGAAAACAAAAGAAACAAGACAGAACAGAGGAGTAGGAAGAGTGCCTTTTTATGTGTCTGCCCACTAGCCAAATGGAAACTATTCCCAGAGAATGCTTATACACTGTTGGTGGGAATGGAAATTAGTATCTCTATGGAAAACAGCATGGAGATTTCTCAAAGAACTAAAAACAGAGCTACCATTCAATCTCACAATCCTACTACTCAGTATCTACCCAAAGGAAAAGAAATCATTGTAACAATAAGATAGCTATACTTGTGTGTTCACTGCAGCACTATTCACAATAGCAAAGATACAGAGTCAGCCTAAGTGTCCATCAATGGCTTAACGTAGAAAGAAAATGTGGAGTGTAGGTATATATATATGAATACTATTCAGCCATGAAAAGGAATGAAAACATGGATAGGACTGGAGGCCTTATTTTAAGTGAAATACTCAGAAACAGAAAGCTAAATAACTACATGTTCTCATTTTAAGTGGGAGCTAAATAGTGAGGGCACATGGACAAAGAGCATGGAATAACAGACATTGGAGACTCTGAAGGCTGAGAGGGTGGGAGAGGGGAGATGGATGAGTAATTACGTAATGGGTACAATGTACATTATTTTGGGTGATGGTTATCCTAAAAGCCCCGACTTCATCACTATGTAATATATCCATGTAACAAAACTGCACTTGTACCACTTAAATTTATACAAAAAAGATGCCTGGCCCAGTGGCTCATACCTGTAATCCCAGCACTTTGGGAGGCTGAGTCAGGCAGATCACCTGAGGTCGGGAGTTTGAGACCAGCCTGACCAACATGGAGAAACCCCATCTCTACCAAAAATACAAAATTAGCCAGGCATGGTGGCCCATGCCTGTAATCCCAGCTACTTGGGAGGCTGAGGAAGGAGAATCGCTTCAACCCGGGAGGCAGAGGTTGAGGGGGGCCGAGATTGCACCATTGCACTCCAGCCCACGCAATAAGAGTGAAACTGTCGCAAAAAAGAAAAAAAAATTATACAAAAAAGAATAATAGGTTTACTACAATGTCTCAAAGCCTTGTACTGCTTTATGTATTGTCCCTTTTAATCTTTCCATCTCTTCTATAAAGTCATGAGGATGACTTTAGACTCATGAGGAAAAGTTCCTAGTTTTTCAGATGAAAAGACTTGGTTAGGGTGAGTTAAAGAACTCAGTGACAGCCTGGCCCAGAGTGGGTGCTCTGCCATGTCTGCTGGGGGAATGAGAGATCCCGCATACAAGCCACAGGGCAATAGTCCCAAAGGACAGGGTACTTAAACAGGAGCCAGCTGCCTCATATTTAATCCTGAGGACTCCTTGAGTTTACTGGTCACAGCAGTGCACAAAGAGATCATAAAACACTGACAGCCCTTGGACGCAGGTCATACAATGAAAGAAATGAAACCGGCACTGGCCTGAAGTGAAAGAGAAGTCTGACTAGAAGGTAGTAATTCGAGATTTTAGATCTTCTCCCCCAAAACCAACTGTTTTTTTTTCTTCCTTGATCCATCCCAATCCTCCAAAATCAACCTTAACATTCATCATTCTTATTACCCTGTGTTTTCCCTGCCTCATTTTTCACTGTAGTCTGCTTAGCTGTGACATGTTCAGTATGCTGATATATGGTAGCCCCTCATCTTCCCCCAAAGATGTAGAAACTGACACAACTCTAACTATTATAAAATGTTTCAATGCTTGAGTTATGGGCTACTTTTTTTATGCAAATGCTATAAATTGCCCCTAAGAAGATATATCATTTCCTCCTATGGCTGGCATCTTTTCTCTTGGTTTTTCTCTTCTGCTTTAGGATTTTTCTTTTAGGTGTACTCAATTACCAATTTATAAATGGACTGGGGTCTAAAATTCAGCCTCTGAGTCTGTTGTTTAAAATTCAAATGTCCTGGCCGGGTGCAGTGGCTCACAGCACTTTGGGAGGCCGAGCCGGGTGGATCATGAGGTCAGGAGTTTGAGACCACCCTGGCTAACACAGTGAAAATCCATCTCTACTTAAAATACAACAACAACAACAAAAAATTAGCCAGGTGTGGTGGCAGGCACCTGTAGTCCCAGCTACTCGGGAGGCTGAGGCAGGAGAATGGTGTGAACCCGGGAGGTGGAGCTTGAAGTGAGCCGAGACTGCACTATTGCACTCCAGCCTGGGCGACAGAGTGAGACTCCATCTTAAAAAAAAAAAAAAAAATTCAAATGTCCTTTCAAGGATATAGTATTATTAAGGGGCTCTGTTCTGGAGTTAACCCTCTAAAACCCACTTAATCCAAACAGAGTTCATGCAGAATAGCCCTACACAAGAGGGACTGTATACAGTCCCATACAATAGTTCTATACAGTCATTATGTTATATATCATGTTTTCATTGGAAAATATTTTCAGGTAGAAACTCATTGCTGTATCAGAGGAAAATGCTGCGGACTTGGAATCAGACAGATGTGAGTTGGAATCTCAGCTCTGTCATATTTAGCTGTGTGACTGGGCAAGAAAAGTGACTTAACCTGTGTGATCCTTCATTTTCTGACTTATAAAATGAAAAAAGATTTACCTTGTGAGACTTGGGAAGATTAAGTGAGGTCATGCCTGGAACACCATTCCCAGCCAATCATCCTGGAAAACTCCTTTTCATCTTTTGAGGCCCACAATGAAGCTGTGACAGCTCACTTCTGTAGGATAAACACACCTGAGAGCAGCAACTTAAGCAACCCTTAGAACGACCCTGTATGGCAGACTCATCTTTTTTTTTTTTTTTTTTTTTGAGATGGAGTCTCGCTCTGTTGCCAAGGCTGGAGCTCAGTGGCGCGATCTTGGCTCACTGCAAGCTCCGCCTCCCGGGTTCACACCATTCTCCTGCCTCAGCTTCTCGAGTAGCTGGGACTACAGGCGCCCACCACCACGCCCGGCTAATTTTTTTGTATTTTTAGTAGAGATGGGGTTTCACTGTGTTAGCCAGGATGGTCTCGATCTCCTGACCTTGTGATCTGCCCGCCTCGGCCTCCCAAAGTGCTGGGATCACAGGCGTGAGCCACCGCACCCAGCCAGCAGACTCATCTTAACGTGTGTTCTGAGCTAGACAATCTAGGAGTGGCCAACCCAGAGATTCCTTCCTTGTCTATAAGGAACATCTGAGCCCATATATGGGACCAAAGTCCTGAGTTTTGGGTTAAATGAAGGTTGCCAGTTAGAGTTCTGTATTAGTCCATTCTTACATTGCTATAAAGAAATCACATCTGTAATCCCTGCACTTTGGGAGACTGAGGTGGGCAGATCACTTGAGGTTCGAGTTTGAGACCAGTCTGGCCAACATGGTGAAACCTCGTCTCTATTAAAAATACAAAAATTAGCCAGGCGTAGTGACGTGTGCCTGTAGTCCCAGCTACTTGGGAGGTTCAGGCAGGAGAACTGCTTGAACCTGGGAGGTGGAGGTTGCAGTGAGCCAAGACCACGCCACTGTGCTCCAGCCTGGGCAACAGAGCAAGGCTGTGTCTCCAAAAACAAAAACAAAAAAACCCTGAGGGCTGGTAATTTATAAAGAGGTCTAATTGGCTCATGGTTCTGCAGGCTGTACAGGAAGCATAGTGGCATCTGCTTCTAGAGAGGCCTCAGGAAACTTACAATCATGGCAGAAGGGGCATGGCAGAAACTTACACATGTCTTATGTGGGCCAGAGCAGCAAGAGAAAGAGGGAGGAGATGCTATACACTTTTAAACAATCGGATCTTGTGAGAACACTATCATAAGAACAACACGATGCGGATGGTGCTAAACCATTCATGAGAAACCACCCCCATGATCCAAGCACCTCCCAGCAGGCCCCACTTCCAGCACTGGGGATTACACTTCAACATGAGATTTGGAGGGGGACACAGATTTAAACCGTATCAAGGTCATTAGTGGGAGAGTGTTAAGTGAAAATGCTATATAAACTGCGTGATGTTTGCAGATAATTGCAGTTTTCCTGCCCAGCCCACCGCCACTGGGCTGTACGAAGGCAGGTATCTTGTCCAGCCCACTGCCACTGGACTCTTTCTGTACATAAGGCAGCTCTCCTGTCCAGCCTGCTGCCGCTGGACTCTCTCCCCTGTATGTAATCCCGATAAAACCCCATGTCGGCCGGGCACAGTGGCTCACGCCTATAATCTCAGCACTTTGGGAGGCCGAGGCGGGTGGATCACGAGGTCGGGAGTTCAAGACAAGCCTGCCCAACATGGTGAAACCCAGTCTCTACTAAAAATACAAAAATTACAGGCGTGCACCACCATGCCTGTAATCCCAGCTACTCGGGAGGCTGAGGCAGAATTGCTTGAACCTGAGAGGTGGGGGTTACAGTGAGCCGAGAATGCGCCATTGCACTCCAGCCTGGGTGACAGAGCAAGACTGTTTAAAAAAATAATAATAATAAATAAATAAATAAAAATAAAAATAAACCATGTCTGGTTCTGGTTTGCTGTCTCTGGGTCTCTTCTTCAGCCTCTTGGAGCTGATGACTTTCCTAATGAGGTTCACAGGGGTTTGACACAACAACTTCCTCTGAAATGTACTTCCTGTTGATTCCAGAAAGAGCTCAATGCATTCTACATAAACATTTTTGAAGCAATGGCCCAGCTGTGTGCATCTATTTCTTCTTAACTTGCATTTGGGTTTCCACTCTTTCTCGTGTAGTCCTTGCACTTACTCCCTGCTCTGGAGATATGAGCAGGGGAGGAGCAGCAGTTTTCACAGGACTGTGGAGAGGGGCAGCAAGGATGTTTTGGGGCTGAGGGGTAGTGTGAGGGCAGCAGATGGGGAAGGAAGAGAGTTCAGGTGTCTGGGAGTTTGGATATCAAGATTCAGCTCAGGTTTCCTATCTGAATCTGAATTCCTTGAGATTCAGATTCTGCATCACACTCCCCAACTGGCTCAGAGTCCCTCCTCTTTAGAGTCCCTCCTCTTTAGAGTCCCTCCTCTTGCTCTGTTAGGCTCCCTCACTTCCTTACATCACAGCACCTAGCAGACTCTATTGGAATTTTCCATTACTCACCAATTAGGTCTCACTAGAGACTTTTCTGAGAGCAGGAACCATGGCTCACTCAGCTCTGGGACTCTAGAAACCCCTAGAGAGACCCATTGGTAGACCCTCTGCTTTCCCTTTCCTGGTCATTACCAACTGATTCTGGCCAGAGCTTCATTCTCTAATGGTCCATCAAAGGCTCAAGAACTAGAGCAAAGTTTCACAGAATTCTCTCATGCTCCTTTCTGTAAACCAGCACACTACACACTCTGGTCTCCTAAGAGTTTGTGCCACTGGTAAAGTGATAAAAAGATGCTCCCTTGGGCCCTTCCCTTCTCTTTTTAATTTAAGACTCAGCCAGGGAAGGCTGAGTTATCAAGCGTAAGGACTAAAGAGATAACAATGAAGGTCCTGAAACACAAAGACTGAGGTAAAGTCAAGTGTATTTCTATGGAGCACTCAAGGGGCATGGCTGAGAATGGGGCAAAGAATAATGGCCTCAATTTTCTCAATAATGTAACTGAACCTGGGAGAGGTTAAGTGATTTACTCAAGTCCTTCAGTTGGTAAGAAGCAAAACTGTCATCAGAATTTACAAGATTGCTTGGCTCCCAAAGGATATACACTTTTGCCTCTTCAGTGAAAACACCTCTCCCCTTAGAAGTTCTCTTAACCAACCTCTACTTAGCACAAAGTTCTCCATGGACACCTAGGGCAAAGTAGATGCCCAAGGCTGGTAAGCCTCTCGCTAGTAGGATGTCAGAGGATGTCTGTTCCTACAAATGGGCTCTGTGCTCAGCAAGAGTGAGCTGTGATTATTACCGAAGGTGTTTTTCTATCTTGTGTTTCTAATGCAATTGGAAATCTAATTAAATATTATTTGAGTTTATGGTATGTAACTACAAAGAATTGCTGTTTCCCTGAAAGGCAAACTAAACGCTTTGCAACAGCTCAATGAAAAGAAGTCCCTAAACAAATTTGCTTTTGTGTTAGGTGTGGGTGAGACTAAAGGGGGGAAAATAGAACTAACCCAGGACCGTCCTCCAATTGTTTTGGAAGAGTCCTTAAGTTCTTGTTTCACTTTGAATGAAAGGACACCGATAACCACAGAAGATGCATGAGGGTGGTTTATGCAAGATAATACAGCACTCAATTAGCAGATCAAAAAACCTGGCCTGTGGATGAAAAGAAAGCAAATCAAGGTTAAAATATTTTTATGATTCTCGCTTTAAATGACATTTTCAATCATCTGACCCAGCATGGGGCTCCCGCTTTTCCCACAGGGGGCTGCTCAGGTTGACTCTCCTTTGGAGTAGCAGAGTGTGAGCTGAGGGAGACCAGGAGAGGCAGGGTCCCCCTGTCTACAGTAGTATCTGCACACATTCCAAAACCCAGAATGGTTGCCTGAAACCATGCAATAGTGCTGTATAAGTCCGTTTTCACGCTGCTGATAAAGACATACCCAAGACTGGGTAATTTATAAAGAAAAAGAGGTTTAATGGAGAACTCACAGTTCCGTGTGGCTGGGGAGGCCTCACAATCATGGTGGAAGGTGAAAGGCATGGCTTACATTGGCAACAGGCAAGAGAAAGAATGAGACCCAAGGGAAAAGGGAAACCCCTTATAAAACCATCAGATCTCATGAGACTTATTCACTGCCACAAGAACAGTATGGGGAAAATCACCCCCGTGATTCAATTACGTAACTCCCACTGGGTTCCTCCCACAACACATGGGGATTATGGGGGCTACAATTCAAGATGAGGTTTGGGTGGTGATACAGCCAAACCGTATCACGTACCTAACTCCATACCATGTTTTTTCCTATACATACATACTTATGATTAGTTTAACTCATAATTAGGCACAGTGAAAGATTAATAACAATAAATTATAATAAAACTGAATAATTATAATACGTCAGCACCACTGCTTTTGCACTTTGGAGCCATGACGAAGTAAAATTAGGGCGACTTGAACACAAGCATTGCGATCCCAGAGAGTCAATCTGATAACTGAGATGGCTACTAAGTGATTCACAGGCCAGTAGTGCAGACAGCATGGAGATGCTGGATGAAGGGATGATTCACCTCCCGGGTGGGACTGAGCGGGATGGTGAGACCCTCTGGGTCCTCTTGGTGCCTGGACATTTCTGTGGAGCCCTCAGGGATGACCCAAGAACACCGTCTGTCCCACCAGGCCAATCTGGGTCTCAGAGTCCTGGTCAAAGTGCATCTTTGCTATATATTTTTTTTTTTTTGAGACGGAGTCTCGCTCTGTCGCCCAGGCTGGAGTGCAGTGGCGCAATCTCGGCTCACTGCAAACTCCGCCCCCCGGGTTCACGCCATTCTCCTGCCTCAGCCTCCCGAGTAGCTGGGACTACAGGCGCCCGCCACCACGCCCGGCTAATTTTTCTTTGTATTTTTAGTAGAGACGGGGTTTCACCGTGTTAGCCAGGATGGTCTCCATCTCCTGACCTCGTGATCCGCCCGCCTCGGCCTCCCAAAGTGCTGGGATTACAGGCGTGAGCCACTGTGTCCGGCCTATTTTCATTCTTTTTCTCCGCTTCCTCCCATCTTTTGTTTTTTCAATCCCGTTCCGCGTTTACGAAGGACCTCCTAATTGCTGTTTTTTATGTTCTTCCCTTGGGAGTACAACAGCCTCTCCTTACTCGGGGTTTTGCTTTTCTCCACTTCAGTTACCAGAGGTCAACCACTGTCTGAAAATATTAAATGGAAGATTCCAGAAATAATTCATATTTTAAATTGCATGCCATTTTAAGTAGCATGTTTCATGCCACTTTACATAAGTCATTTAAGTTAAATAATACAGTATTTGTCCTTTTGTGTTTGGCTTAGGTCACTAAGCATAATGTCCTCAAAGTTCATCCAAGTTATAGCATATGTCAGTTTTTTGTTTTGTTGCCCAGGTTGGAGTGCAGTGGCACAATCACAGGTCACTGCATCCTCTGCCTCCTGGGTTCATGCAAACGTCCCACCGCAGCCACCCAAGTAGCTGAGACTACAGGCACATGCCACCATGCCGGCTAATTTTTTATTTTTTGTAGAGACGGGGGTCTTACTATGTTGCCTAGGCTGGTCTCAAACTCCTGGGCTCAAGCAATCCACCTGCCTCAGCCTCCCAAAGTGCTGAGATTACTGGCATGAACCACCATGCCTGACCTTCAGAATTTTATCCCTTTTCAAGGCCTGCCAAAGTTTTTAGTTGTACTTATTTTTATGTTTTTATTTTTGATATAAAAAGACTTGAGAGTTTAGAAGTCTCCTGTGCCCTGCCTGGTCAAGAAATGTCATTCATCAGGAGGACACAGGCCTTCCAAAGCACTACTTCTATCTGTTGTAATTCGCTCACTGATGGCTGAACCTGACTTTCTTTAGAAAGTCATCCACTTCTCCATTTGTGACCTATTACATCCAAGACCCAGATTGTAAGGTATATTCCACTTCAATTTTTCAATATAGTGCCAAAGTGTTTTCCAATTTGGTGTATCCATACACACTCCTATGGGTGACATAACAGACCACTGGTCAACTGAGACTTGATAGTATCACTCTTCCAATTTGGTGGCTATAAAATTATTTGTGGTCTTAATTTTCACTTCCCTGATGAACAGCGAGGCTATATATCTTTTCATGTGTTTATTGGCCATTTGCCTGGCAACCAAGTGAAAGGACTGTTTACATGTTTTACAGATTTATCATTCAATATTAAGAGTTGCTTATATATTTTGTTTAGTGCTCTCTTGTCAGTTACATGTGTTGAAGTATCTTTTGCTTTTCTCTCTTTTTTTTTTTTTTTTGAGATGGAGTCTTGCTCTGTTGCCTAGGCTGGAGTGCAGTGGCACAATCTCGGCTCACTGCAACCTCTCCACCTCCCGGGCTCAAGAAATTCTCCTGCCTTAGCCTCCTGAGTAGCTGGGACTACAGGCATGCGCCACCACGTCTGGCTAATTTTTGTATTTTTAGTAGAGATGGGGTTTCACATGTTGGCCAGGCTGGTATCGAACTCCTGAGCTCAAGTGAGGCACCTGCCTTGGCCTCCCAATGTGCTGGGATTACAGGCGTGAGCCACTGCACCTGGCCTGCTTTTCTCTTTTTAATGCCTGTTTGATTGAGTTATTGATATCAATGTGATTAAATTTACGGATTCATTCATTTATGGTATGCGTTTTTGATGTCTTGTTGAATACATACTTCTCCATTCTGAAGTCTTAAGGCCAGTTTCCCTTTTCATTTAAAAAATAAAAGTTTAATTTGGCCCTTCACTTTCTAAGTTTCTAATCCGTCTGGAATTAATTTTATGCATGGTATGAGACAGGGATCCACTTAAATTTTTTCCATGTGGATAATCAGGTGTCTCAGCACAGTTTATGGAAAACTTAATCATTTCTTCAATGATCAGGTATGTTGCCTCTTCATATACCAAAATGCTTTCATAAATGTGTGTGTGCTCTTGCACGCTCTCCTCTTTCCAACTAATTGCACGGCCCTGAGCAAATGCTCAGCAATAGTTTACTGTAGGTTTTCACTAGTTACTATTTATGAGAGTTTTTATCATGAATGAGCACGTAATTTTGTCAAATAACTTTCCTTCATCTGTTTATATGATTATTTGGTATTTCTCCTTTAATCTATTAACATGCTGAATGACACGTGGATTTTTCAATGCTAAATCACTCTTGTCTTTCCTGGAACAAACCCAACTTGGCAATGATATATTATCTATTTTATACATGGCTAGATTTGGTTTGCTAAATATTTTGCTTAAGATTTTTGCATCTATATTCATGAGTGAGACTGGCTTGCAATCTTCCTGTCTTTGTGACGTGACTTTGCTTCTCTTTCGTCTTCCGCCATGATTGTGAGGCCTCCCCAGCCCTGTGGAACTGTGAGTCAATTACACCTCTTTCCTTTATAAATTACCTAGTTTCAGTCTCGAGTATGTCTTTATTAACAGCATGAGAACAGACTAATGCACTTTTTTTTTGTCTGATTTTGGTGTTGATAATATCCTGGCTTTGCTGAATGGGTTAAAAAGTGTTCCTCTTTTCATATTCTCTAGAAAAGTTTATTTAAAATTGGAAATGTCCTTGGATTAAAAAAAATTGGTAGAACTTATTTCTACTTGCCGTCTAGGGGTACTGTTTTAAAAAGGTTTAATGGCTAGAAGATAATCTAAACTTTATACTTTTTTCTTAAATCGGTTTTGGTAAGTAACACATTTCTAGGAATTTGTCCATTTAACAAAAATTCTCAAATTTGTTCACATAATGTTGTTCACAGTATTCTATTTTTTTTTTCAATTCTGCTAATTGATTGAAAGCTCCACCAACTGAGACTGTTTGCTTTATCTTTGCTGTATATCTAGAACTCAGAAGTCACTTGCTCAAAAACAATGAGAGAATGAGTAAGTGGATCTGGAATTAGGTGCCCCTATTCATTTCTTGGTGAGTTCACTTTCTTTTTTCTTGATGAGTCTCGCCATAGGTTTGTCTATTTTATTGGTCCCTTTCAAACTTTTGACTTTATTGATCAATTTGCTGACCAACTTCAATTTGATTGCATTTGAATTTAATGTTCTGTTCTGTTGTGTTTTGTTTTTAGAGACAGGGTCTCATTCTGTTACCCAGGCTGTAGTACGGTGGTGCAATCACAGTTTACTGCAGTCTGGAGCTCCTGGGCTCAAGTAATCCTGCCTCAGCCTCTCTAGGAACTGGGACTTGAGTAGCTACCACCACTGCCCCACTCCCATCCCCCCATTTATTTATTTTTTGGTAGAGATGGAGGTCTTGCTTTGTTGCTGAGGCTGGTCTTAAACTCCTGAACTCAAGGGATCCTCCCATCTCAGCCTCCCAAGTTGCTGGGATTACAGGCATGAGTCACCAGGCCCGGCCAACTCTAACGTTGTTTATATTAATATATCATCTTGAGTTGCAAACTTGGCTTATTAATTTTCAACTTTTCTTCTTTTTAATATAAACATTTAAGGATATACATTTCCTTACATGTTATTTTATCCCACTAATTTTGACATATTATTTTTATTTTCATTTAGGCTCTAAGTAGTTTTCAATTTAAATTATTTATGTTTAGAACCATGAGTAATGTAAAAGTATGTTTTCAATTGTAATCAAATAGATTTTTAAAAACCTTATTGTTACTGCCTTCTTATTTAATTTTGCTTTCTTCAGAGAACTATAGTATAATATCATTCTTTGAAATGTATTGATGTCTAGTACTTGGTTTCTTTTTAATAAATGTTCCATATGAGCCTAAGAAGGATGTATACTCTCAGATCATTAGGTACAAGGTTCCTTATTTGCCCAATAAGTCAACATGTTAACTGTGTAGTTTAAATCTTCTATAGTCTTAGTAATTTTTGTCTTTTGATATTTCAACATTTGAAAAAAAATATGGGCTGGGTGCGGTGGCTCATGCCTGTAATCCCAGCACTTTGGGAGGCCGAGGTGGGAGGCCGATCACCTGAGGTCAAGAGTTTGAGACCAGCCTGGCCAACATGGCGAAACCCCATCTCTACCAAAAATGCAAAAATTAGCCAGGCGTGGTGGCGGGCACCTGTAGTCCTAGCTACTTGCGAGGCTGAGGCAGGAGAATCGTTTGAACATGGGAAGTGAAGGTTGCAGTGAGCTGAGATCATGCCACTGCACCACAGCCTGGGCAACAGAGCAAGACTCTTTCTCAAAAAAAAAAAAAAAAAAAGGAAAAAAGAAAAAATATGTTAAATATTCCAAGATGAAAATGGACTTATCAATTTCTCCCTGGAGTTCTAATGAGCTCTGTGTGTGTGTGTGCCTGTTTGTGTATATGTATTTGGACAGATATATATACAGGCATAACTTGGAGATATTGTGGGTTTGGTTTCAGACTACTGTAATAAAGTGAATACCACATGAAGTGAATCACATTTTTTGGTTTTCCGATACATATAAAAATTATGTTTAAACTACACTGTACTCTGTTAAGTGTACAACAGCATTATGTCTAAAAAAATACGTACTTTAATTAAGAAATACTTTATTTCTAAAAAATGTTAATGATCACCTGGCCTTCAGTGAGTCACAATCCTTTTGCTGGTGGAGGGTCCTGTCTTGGTGTTGATGGCTGCTGACTGATCAGGGTGGTGGTTGTTGGAAGGTTGGGGTGGTTGTGGCCAATTTCTTAAAATAAGGTAACAATGAAGTTTCCCACATGGATCGACTCTTCCTTTCATGAAAAGTTTCTCTGTAGCAATTGATGCAGTTTGATAATTCTTACCTACAATAGAACTTCTTTCAAAATTGGAGCCAATCTTCTCAAATCCTGCCCCTGCTTTATCAACTAAGTTTATGTAGTATTTTAAATCAGATATAATAACAATGAACATTACCAAAATGTCACAGGAAGAGACACAAGTCCAAAATCCTGACATTCTCAGATAGGATTTATGGAATTTTCTTTGCTCTCAAGAGATTGATAAGAAATAGAATGGGATTCTCCCACATGAAGGTGTGCCAGGTTTTCAGAGACTCCAGCTAATTACAAGGCTTTCCTCATGCATGTTTTTGGATCAACAGCCACAACACAGATTATTTGAACTCCCCAAGCTTCTTTTTTCTATTTTCTTGGTTTTTTTTTCCCCAAATTAAGAGTTTGTGATTATATAGATAACAGAGCCTTCTTAGTTCTCTATCTCTACTTTTTTTACTGCCTACTTTAAATCTGGTGACTTTTCTTTTTCTTTTTTATTTTTGAGACAGAGTCTTGCTCTATAGCCCAGACTGGAGTGCGGTGGCACGATCTAGGCTCACTGCAACCTCTGCCTCCAGGCAGGGTTCAAGCAATTCGCCTGCCTCAGCCTCCTGAGTAGCTGGGATTACAGGTGCACATCACCACACCCGGCTAATTTTTATATTTTTAGTAGAGACGGGGTTTCACCATGTTGGCCAAGCTGGTCTCGAATTCCTGAACTCAAGTGATCCACCTGCCTTGGCCTCCCAAAGTGCTAGGATTACAGGCGTGAGCCACTGTGCCTGGCCTAAATCAGTTGACTTTTCTGCTGGTGTTGAGATAAAATTCAGTGCTTATGGCATTCTAGCCAAGATTAAAAAAAAAAAAAAGTCTTAAAGGGCTTTTAAATAAATGGCTTTACATATTACAACAGCTCCAAAGTAACCAACAACCTAGACATCTTTTGCAAATGTAAATTTGGGTTTGCCTGGCTACCAATTGCTTAGGATGCTAGAGCAGTTAACTAAGGGGACTGATAGCCTAAAATAATAAAAATTAGATAAATCATTATGAAGGTTAGGCTCTCAGGTCAAAATCTTGAGGTCAGAACAGTAATATAAGGTATCTCTTTCCAGCATAAAAACTGTTGTGTCTGCCACACAGGGGCCGTTAAAAAAAAATAGCTGGAAAACAAAACTCTTGTTAAGATGCTTCCCCATAACCATTGACTAGCAAAGGGGATCAGTGAACAAAGATAAATGTGTTACTAATTCAAGGCCACTGGAGATTTTGTTTTTCTTATACAATTCGTCACTCCCAGCTAAAATGTAAACTCATTTGAAGCTGAAGAAAGGAAACAAAAAAAGGTAAAAGAGGTTTTTTAAAAAATCAAACTGCTTTATCCAAAACTTTGATCCATAGCCTTCACTAGATTAGCATTTAAGTTTAGCTATGTAAAAAGGTCCCAATTTTGAGAGAAATATAATTTGAATGCAATCGTTGTTTATAAATGGGTGAGTTTGTATTACTATCTCATGGCTAAAATTCTAAAATAAAAGCAGTAAGATCTTTGTGTATGTATGTCTATGTGTTTAGGTGTGGTTACCAACATGTACATGTATTATGTTATATAATATGTTATGTTGTATTTACAAAGTAAAATCTGGAATAGGTGTTATAATAATACATATTATATTATAGAACATTATTATTGCATTATAAATATTAATATTATCAAATCATTAAATACCATCAATAATTTAACACTGTTAAATTAAATAATTGATATTAATATTAATAAATTAATAATATTCAATAATTATTGAATATTAATGGATATAACAATGAATAGTATTCATATAACATAACATGAATAATACATATAACATTTATCATTTTATATATGTTATGTCTACATAGTAAAATCTAAGAAATGTAAAATAAAATGTATAATGAAATATAATATTCATAGTATATTCATAGAACACGAATAATACATGTTATAGAATAACATGTTATATGAATAATACATATTATATAACATGCATTATGTTAGATAATATATGTTATGCTGTATCTACATAGTAAAATGTGGAATAGTTGGCCAAAAAAAAAACTCCTAAGAAATTTTATTTTGATTGGCTTAGATGAATTATCACACATATAAAATATATAGTAATTAACCCAAATGCCTTTTAGTTCCTGTGACTTAAATAAAACTTTGATAAATAAGATGGTTTTTAAATCATTGGTAAAATAAAAATGGAAATATCTTCGAAACTGGCAGCATACATTTTTGGCTGGGTTTTGTATTTGTTTCTGCTACATGTTTTAAAGTCATGAAGCTATGAAGTCAACTTGAAAACAGAATAATCTTTGTGTAACTCCTTGATAAGTAGGACTAATTTAATATTGGTTTAATAAAAACAGTTGTAGCTTCTGAGTTACAGGCAAAATACTTGTGTATTTTACTTTCAGGCTCTTACTTAAACAAACACCTGATATTCACAAAATACAAAAATGGTTAACAGGACAATAACTTGAAATGATGATTCGCTTTGTGTAATATTTCAGTTTTCATAAGTAATCTAGGTGAATTGTTAAAAATCAGTAAATTAGGTAAATGTAAATGGAGTAAATGTTTGCCGGGCGCGGTGGCTCACGCCTATAATCCCAGCACTTTGGGAGGCCGAGGTGGGTGGATCATGAGGTCAGGAGATCGAGACCATCCTGGCTAACACGGTGAAACCTCGTCTCCACTAAAAATACAAAAAATTAGCCGGGCATGGTGGCGGGCGCCTGTAGTCCCAGCTACTCGGGAGGCTGGGGCAGGAGAATGTTGTGAATGTGGGAGGCAGAGCTTGCAGTGAGCTGAGATTGCACCACTGCACTCCAGCCTGGGCGACAGAGCGAGACTCCATCTCAAAAAAAAAAAAAAAGTTTATAAAATAAACATTTGGAATAAATGGAATGTGGAATAAATGTTTATAAAATAACTTTTCATGTACTTTAAAATCATAAGGTTATGCTATGTTACATTAAATAAAAAACACTCATCAAATGTCTGGGTCATTTCCATAAAAATAAGAACAAATTGCTGAACATAAATATAAGTTGTTTTCAGCTTCTTAAATATATTTGAGTCTATTAAAACATGCTTCTAAAAATTATAAAATAGTTCTTATTACAAAATGCTGATATGTGACAGAGAATTCAAAATTTTTGGCTTCCTAGGTTTTCACTAGAAATTAAGGTTACTAAGAATAAAATCCTAATTAATTTATATATAATTCTGTATACAAAGTGTATTAATCCATTTTCATGTTGCTGATAAAGACATATCCAAGACTGGGTAATTTATAAAGAAAAAGAGGTTTAAGGGACTCACAGTTCCACGTGGTTGAGGAGGCCTCACAATCAAGGTGGAAGGCAAAAGGCAAGTCTTACATGGCAGCAGGCAAGACAGAGTGAGAGCCAAGCAATAGGGGAAACTTCTTATAAAACCATCAGATCTCGTAAGACCTATTTACTACCATGAGAAATTTGTGGGGGAAACTGCTCCCATGATTCAATTATTTCCACCAGGTCCCTCCCACAACATGTGTTAATTGTGGGAGCTACAATTCAAGATGAGATTTGGGTGGGGACACAGCCAAATCATATCACAAAGTATACCAAAATAAGATGTGTTTTGATGAATGAAATTACAAGGCATAAAAATATGTTTCTTACTGAGAAAATAGAATAATTTTGTCCAGTTCAGAGGTTACTTAAAGGTTGCCTCGAAAAGTATATTTAGAATGGAAATAGAAACAAGACAGACAGGAATCCATAAGTAGGAGAGTAATATGAAGAAAGTTATGGATATAAGGATGTATTTTTGGTAAGGATAGTTAAAAAGAAAAGAGCATTTCCTATGAGAAACAATCTTATGTGGTAAATTTTTGTCTTAAAGTAAAATGACTGGTTATTTAATAAAGAGAAAGTAAAGGACAAAGCAGAAAGTTTAAGCATGTTGTAAAAGGTCTGAGTAAGTCACGATAAAGTTTATGAAGGATAAATTTATAAAAGAAATTGTGGGTGTGATCAAGTTGCCTGTAATTAGAAGGCAATTATTTATAAGCCTTCCTAAAGATTGAGCTTTGCTATTAAAAATACACTAAAACAAAACTAAAATTTTCATCCCCTATGTTAGAACAACAAGGTTTTCTTGAAGTACTGATCTGCTCTTAGTAAAACCATAAGAGATCATAATTTTTAATTCTGAAATCTGTTTAACTGCCATCTTCTGAACTGCAGTTTCTATTTCTGCAAAATTTCTTCCTGAGATCCATTTAATTTCCCTAGTTTTGGGTTAGAAATGCTGTCTTCTTCATTTAGAATGGTAATTTCACTTCTTGAGGCAGAGGTTTCCTCTGGAAGCTTTTCAGATTCATGTCTCAGAAGTTCAACTTTTGCTATATCTTGCTGCATGTGATTTTCAGGTCATACATCATTGCCTTCTGCTCTTCGTCTTTCTACCCTTGAGAAGGCCTGGGATAACTCTCTCCTTTAAGTTTTCCATTCCTTCCTGTAACTGTTTTTTTTCCCCCAGTTCTAACTCTGCTATTATGGCTTGTCCATTAAATGTTTATCTTGGGTACGGTGGCTTATGCCTGTAATCCCAACACTTTGGGAGGCTGAGGCAGGCAGATCATGAAGTCAGGAGATCGAGACCATCCTGGATAACATGGTGAAACCCTGTCTCTACTAAAAATACAACAAATTAGCCACGTGTGGTGGCACGCGCTTGTAGTTCCAGCTACTCGGGAGGCTGAGGCAGGAGAATCACTTGAACCCGGGAGGTGGAGGTTGCAGTCAGCCGATATCGCGCCATTGCACTCCAGCCTGGGGATAGAGTGAGACTCCGTCTCAAAAAAAAAAAAAAAAAAAAAAAGTTTATCTTGAAGGCCTACAAAGGCAATGTCTTCCACCAGTATACCTTGATTTTGTACTCTTGGCTTTTCTTGACATGTCGGAATTATCCCATGTAACCAAGAAACTTCCCGTGCTATTACTAAGGACCATGTATTCCCCTGCTCAAGGTGCTAGTTTTCTTGTTTACATTCCTGTATAATATGGTATACATTCCTAACCTTGGACTCATTCTTTCTATGTCAGATTAAATTCAAGTACCCTTTTCATCAGGTCGACTACCTGGTTATCTATTATACATTGGCTTCTCACAAGGAGAAGCAATCAACCTGCTGAAGTTGTTTCTTACCTTTTTAATAACTGGCCTAAGAAACAAACATTTTATATGTTATCAATATAATTTCCTGTGTTATCTTTATTCAGTATTTGATTACTTAGGAAAATGGAGTTTTGAAAGCACTAAGATTCCACGTAAGTTTCTCTATCGTCTTTTGATAATCACTCTGGTTACATGAATGACTATTACTTCACAGTAACTTCTTATCAAGTGCTTTCAACCTTTTAAAATCTTTGGCAGGTTTCCATGAATCAAAATTCTAACTTAAGTTTTATTGACCTGAAATTAACTTTTGGATTTTCCAGAGACTCTGGAGAGTCTCAAAGAATGTATCTCTCATCTTGTAGAAATATTAAATGATTAGTCTTATTTTGTGAACTGCATGCTAAATGCTGTCAAATAATAAGTGATACTAGATCTTCTTTGCATTACATTTATGGGTATCTACCCAAATTATATAAAATTCTTAAAAATCTAATATGACATTAGTTAAAATTCTAGACATTATGTTGTGTGGCACAAAAATAACTAAATTTCCATGTTAATTGCTTATTATAATGAACTCCCATCAGATTTTTAGCCATGGCTATTCTAAGTTTTTATCCACAGCTATTGTTTTGAATTCTTCTTTAAAGGCATTTGCAAGCAAATTTATGGAAGCGACTCTAACAAGTACTCTTAGATATAGGTTAATAAAAACTTTAAGATCAATGGACTAAATGCAAATGTTTGAGAACTCCAATGAAGAAACATGAATTCATGAAACTACTAATCAAGCTCAAGCAGAACAAAAATAAATTGCATGAGATTAAGTAACTGATAATGTTTTTGACTTTTATTTAAAACACTGTTAGTTCTTCACTTAAATGTTTTGTTTTCCAGATTTAAGGAAATTTTCTTCCCTAAGCTGTCTATAGTGCACAATGATTTGGTAAACTATATATTTGTGAACAAGGTAGAAGCATTTCCTTCTTCCAATTTTCTCTCTCCAAAGTTTGGAGAGATTTTGTGAGTATTCTTATTTTTTACGGTAATATGGTTATTTATACAAGTTCAATAACATTTGCTCTCTCTGCCTGCCACAGTGGCTCATGTCTGTAAGCCAGGTGGGCAGACCCCTTGAGGCCAGGAGTTTGAGACCAGCCTGGCATACATGGTGAAACTCTGTCTCTCCTAAAAATAAAAAAAAAATTAACTCTCTCTCTATAGCAGGATACAATGGCAACAATTGGTTATATCATCAAGGCTTTGACTGAAATGTCATATCTGAGAATATGTATAAACTGCCTGACTTCTAGGGTTCTCAGCCTTAGAGTAGATGAATAAAAATTATCAATTCCTGGCAGGTGCAGGAACATTAGGACTGTAAGTATAACCTAAAGTCTGTCTTGGGTTATCTTATTAACCTCAAGAAATTTTTATTTTTATTTATGTTTATTTTTTATTTATTTTTTTGAGACATGGTTTCTCTCTGTCACTCAGGCTGGAGTGCAGTGGCACAATCACAGCTCACTGTAACCTCAGGCTCCTGGGGTGAAGCAGTTCTCCCACCTCAACCTCCCCAGTAGCTAGAACTACAGGCACTTGCCACCAGCTTAGCTTTGAAAGGTTTTTAAATCTGAGATTACTATGTGGTCAAATCACTATTCTTGCAGGCAATATTTGATAAAAACTAAATTTATTTTAGAAACAAATTTGTCTTACTCTATTTTTGGAAAAGCCAATATCACCGTAGGAAGAAAAAGTTATGTTTCTGTTCTTTTTTTTCTTCCAGAAATATTTTAATAAAAATTGGCCATTTCCAAGAAACACTCACTGCATGCCCATCAATAAAAGAGAACCATAACAAAATAGAAAATTTCCCATATGGCTATGATTTAAAGAAAAAAATGCGGACACGAGTTATATTTCTAAAGAAAGCTAGAATACACCTGTTATTAGATGATAGCTGTGTGCACTGTTTTCAAGTTCTTGTTATTTGCCTATAGAGCAAATTGCTATTTGTTATTTGCCTATAGAACTCTTCTAGATTTCTACAATCCTACTTTCTTCTATGCAGTTACCACAAATGGGAATTTCTCTGTTTTGGAAGCCCTATAAGATGAAACTAGATGAATTTTAAGAAATAAGTCTCGTGCCTGATGTCTGGGCCACACAAGGTTCACCAAACTGTCCCATGCCATCACCAGAGACATTCAAACTGCAAACCAGGACGAGAGTTGATTGTTTTCATGCTGTAGACAGCTTTTTTTCAAGATGTCAGAACAAGGCTCTATATCATAATGATATAACAAAGCCTACCTTTTTCACTTGGTAGGATAATGGTCATTTTGTTTATTCAATTGGCTGTCTTTAAAGCCTAGGTTTATTGCTCAAAGTCCTTATGCAAACTGTTCTTGTCACATCACTATTAATTTTACTTTGCATTTTTCTCTTTAATTTTGTATCTGTTACTTGTTCAAATTTTTTACAGATGTACGAATCCTAACAGTATAATGCTAACCCAGCACTTTGAGATGGTAACACATGCCTATGGAACAGACAAAATTGAACTTAATTACAGACTCCAAGTAGACAGACGAGGAGCACCCCACTTAAACTTCCTTATTGCTCAAATGTGGTTAAAAAGGTTTTGACACTGACTCCTAGCTGCCATTCATTCTCTCCAACGTGAAACAAGACCAGAAACCTGGGAGAGGTCCATCCTGGCACTGAGAGACATGAAAACCTAACTAAAGGATGACTGAACAGTGACACTTTTGGGGAAACATCTTGATCAAAAGGGTGAAATATGAATGTTGCCAAAATAAAAATGGAGTCATTTGTGTTAACAAAACCCTGACAAATAGAACCAGGAATGCCATGGAAAGAGGCTTTTCTTCCACAAGTGTCTGATAACAAGAATGATTACAAAAGACTCCGTGAAAACCACAATCTTGCACAAATGCCATCGTAACTTTACACACACAAAATAAAAACTTCTGCAGGCACGTCTGCCCAGCAACTGCCTGTCCAGTCTTGGACTGGTGTCAACTTTGTTACTGATCCTTTGGCCAAAGATAATTATCTCCAAACAATTATAAAATCCTCTTCATTTTTCCTTTAAAAACCTTTATCTTCCTTTACCTCCCTGGGTATGCACATAGTTTGCTATGGCATGTATATTCCCATTGCAATGCACTATTCCAGAATAAATATAATTTTCTTTTAGAGAGGATCTCTTCATTATTAAGGCTGACAATACTTTAGCAGTTTCTTTGCATGTTTGCAGAAAATTCTCTTTGTTATCTTATACTTGAAAGATTATTCTTCTAGGTATACAACCTGTTATTGTTTCTTGGCATACTTAAGATATGCCTCACTTCCAATTTTCTCTATTATCTCCTTCTGATAGTCCAATGAGACATATCCCAATTTCTTTGCTTCTTTCTCAGTTTTTCTATCTCTTTTCATTCTGTGTTGCATCTTGGGTAATTTCTTATACCTCTTCCAGTTCACTAATTCTCTCTTCAGCTGTGTTTAAGCTGCTGTTTAACATATCCATTTAATTTCAATAATCATATCTTTCACTTCTAAAAATACTATTTAATCCAAATACGGCTATTCATTTTTTGAGAATCTACTATTCCTTCATCCTACTTTCAATATTCATTTTTTATTTCTACATGTAATAAAAATACTTATGTTTTATATCTGGTAAGTCCAATATTTGCAGTCTTTCAGATTTAACTCCAGTCTTCAGTTTTTGCACTTTCTCAGGGTAGCTTACTTCCTTGTGTGTTTTGTGATTCCTGAGAACCTTGCTTTCCTTGTAACTTCCCCTAAAAAATTCTGAAGACTTGTTTTTAAGAATATTCTTCTAGATCAGATTTATGTTAGTTTCTGCCAAGTGCCTGGCAAATTTTTAATTTTTTTTCTTTCCATTTTTGCTCCCACACATGTAATTTCAGCCCCCAAAATAATATGGGCATAGGCTTAAAATAAAATCTCAGAGGAAACATTTCTCCCTCATTCTACCTAAAACCAAGGATGAAACAGACAACAACCTCTACTGTCTTCTTCTACACTCTGAGTTTTATTAACTGTTTATCCGCTGAGGATAATACTCTTTGTGGATCCTGACTTTATGTGAGGCCTTTATGTGAGGTCTTTCTTCTTGTGGGCCTAAGGTCCTGTGTATAGTATTTCAACAGAATAATTATATGTTTTGCCTGTTGGCCTATTGTCCCTCTGTATCCCATGATAGCATTCGCTTGTTTGAACAATAAATTATACAGTTACCTATTGAGAAAAACCACTGTTTTTCTATACTCTCACACAGAAGACTTCTGATGCCAGATATTGTGGGGTTATTTTCCTACAATGACCAGTTCTTCAACACTAGCTGGGTCCCTATAATTTAATACAACAGTGACACTACCTCCTTGACAAAAGCATCAGACTCTATGGGTTAGTGGCTTAGTCCCACGAGGCTGCCCACTTCAGATGCCAGTTGCAAATCCCAGTCTCCTGTCCTCTGACAGATTTGCTGTAAATCAAGGATTCCTATGATCCCCTCCTTGGGTTCCATAATTTACTAGAATGGCTCCTGAAACTCTGGGAAACACATTTACTAGCTTATTATCAAGGATGCAACTTGGGAACAGCCAGAGAGAAGAGGTACATAAGGCAAAATATGGGGGTGTGGGGTGAGGGGGTATGGAGCTTCCATGCCTTCTCTGGGCACACCACCCTGCAGCAACAATAGTGTTCACCAACCCAGAAGTTCATCAAATCTTGTTATTCAAGAGCATTTAAAGAGCTTGATTTCTAGCACACCCTCCTGCCTTCCCAGAGGTCCATGGAACTTTCAGTGGGGAAGTTCTTTTTTTTTTTTTTGAGTGTCGTAAAGTCTTTATTTTATGAAAGAAGTCACACAGGCAAAGCTTTATATTTGCTGAGTGATTTCTTTCTTTTTTTTTTTTTTATTATACTTTAAGTTCTAGGGTACATGTGCACAACGTGCAGGTTTGTTACATATGTGTACATGTGCCATGTTGGTGTGCTGCACCCACTAACTTGTCCTTTACATTAGGTATATCTCCTAATGCTATTCCTCCTCTCTCCCCCACCCCATGACAGGCCCCGGTGTGTGATGTTCCCCACCCTGTGTCCAAGTGTTCTCATTGTTCTGCTATAAAGACACATGCACACCTATGTTTACTGCGGCACTATTCACAATAGCAAAGACTTGGAACCAACCCAAATGTCCATCAGTGACAGACTGGATTAAGAAAATGTGGCACATATACACCATGGAACACTATGCAGCCATAAAAAAGGATAAGTTCATGTCCTTTGTAGGGACATGGATGAAGCTGGAAACCATCATTCTGAGCAAACAATTGCAAGGATAGAAAACCAAACACCGCATGTTCTCACTCGTAGGTGGGAATTGATCAGTGGGGAAGTTCTAACCCTCTGATCACTTGGTCTTTCCATCCTGAGGCTCTCTAGGGGCCCTACTCTAAGACACCTCATTAGCATAAACTCAGGTATAACCCAAAGGGGCTCATATACACAATAAAAGCTGTTCTTATCACTCAGGAAATTTCAAGGGTTTTAGGAGCTCTGTTCCAGGAACCAGGGACAAAGACTAAATAGATTTCTTATAATACCAGGCTCACCTTTAAACCAGGCTCCCTGCCACTAGGGATCATCCCTTCCAAGGGCAAAGGTGACATCCAGTTGCTCTTTGCTTATCTTTTTGGATTCACTCTGTCATTGTTTCTGGCCTTTGCTTTCTTTACTTGCTTTATGAACCGATCAATTATGCTTTCAAAGCATGTAAAATATTTTTTAATCCAGCATTTTTACATATTCTTTACACAGTTGGTTTTATTTCGCCCCCTCTCCAAACTTTTTAATCCATGATATTCTTGACAATATTCCTGTCTGTTTCTTCTCTTTTCCTTATTTCTAACAAGCACATGATATACAGAAGGAACTGAATAAATGCCGATGGAAGGAATGAATGTTGCAGGCACCTCTGTTTTAAATCCTTTCTAATATTTTGAAATAAATTTCAAGTGCAGTTAAAAAAAAGTTCTTTCTTTCTAATGCTATAATTTCATTCCTGGAAAGGCAAGCTACAACAATATTGGATGGAAGGGCTTCATGGACAAAGCTGTTAATTAAGATATAATTTATATTTATGAAAATTTGAAAACAACTAAGGTCAAGGGAGTGGCTAGGTAACAGACTAACTATTGGATATGATGTTCATTAACACCATGTGGCTCACCCAGAAAATGCTTATGATATGCAACAAATGAAAAGCAGAAAACCACATTTAACATGCGTTATGACTACAAATAAGACATAATACCCACATGGGGACATGGATCAGAAGCCAAGTACAAAAGACTAATTTATTAGAAAAGCTAGCTTTGCAATCCTTTTTCCTTTTTAAAACTTGCAATGGATATAAACTTTATATGGAACAAATTCTTTAAGGATGCATGTATCTAATCCTCTGTGATACAACCTGAGAGGCAAAAGCCCTTGCTGTCAGACAGGCCTGTGTTGAAATCTTCGTTCTGTTGAATAGTTGTGGTCAATTCTTTACTCCTTCCACTGTAGGGAGGGAATTCTAACACACTCCTTAACTCACACTCCTTACTCAAAGTAATCATACGGGCTTAGTCATACAGTTACTTTGGCCAATGAGGGATATTAGCAACAATGACTCAAGGTTTCCTCTTGTGTATTAGGGCTTCCTCTGCCACCTCTGCCTCACCATGAGAAAACACCATACTGGCTTGCTGAGGGGACAGAGGACATCTAAGTTGCCCCAGTCACCAGCTGTCCCATCTGAAGCTGACCACAAATACTCTGTTAAACCAGTAAAAAAATGAACCATCCAACCAGCCTACAAACTCATCAACTATATAAATGGTTGCTGATTTAGGCCACTATCAGAATAGCTTGTTATGCAGCATTATCTATAGCAGTAGATGACTAATATACCCTGTCTTCTTCCTCTTTCTATAGCCAGGTTCATTCACAGTGTTTGGTACCTACAGAGTGGTGATGAAAGCTTTTTCTGTCATTGTCCGCCCTCTGTGAGGAAGAATGAGACATTTATGCTTGCATCTCCCCGACTGACCCACCCACACCTGTCATAGCACTTTGTCCTTTTTTAAATACTTACTTCTTTGCACATTTCTCTCCTCCTCCAAGTCATACATGACTTGGAAGCAGGTTAATTATTCACATCCACATCTATAGCACCTGGCACAGAGTAGGCCCTCAATAAATGTTTTTGCTTGAGTTGAATGAATAGATTTGGGGAGCTGGCATGAACCAAAAGAGCCAGCAGCAGATGGCAAGAATAATAACCACACAAGCTGGTTCTTACGCCAGGAGGCTTTAGGCTTTCCAGAAAGCCCAAATAAGGGTGGAAAAAAACCAACACCCCACAAAGATGAAAAGCATACTCATTCTGCTCTCCTGTGCCCTTATCTCTCTCACCACATTGCACATAAATCTCCCAGCCATCCATGCCCCTGGGAGGTCCTCTCGGCCCACCTCACCCTACCTCCAGGGATGTCCCTGTGTTGACCCTACCTTTAGATCAGACACGTCTCTGTAGCACTGCTCGGAGCGGGTGTGGTCTGACAGCTGCACATTCCAGAAGCAGGGGAGCTGGTACACAAGGAAGGGGTTTTGTTTGATGACGGCATTGAAAATATCCTGGGGGATGAAAGCCAAAGACACAGTCAAGACAGTCGGATGGTCCAGCTGCCCATTTTGGCTCTCAAGGCACTGCATCCCCTGTGATAGGGCTTCTCTTGAACCTCCTGCTCTGAACACAGGCTGGCTCGCACTGTGAGGCATCTCTCTTGCCTGTTATCTCTAGGAACCAAGCAATAATGTTTGGATAGAGACGGGGGAATGTCCCAGGCTGACTGGAAGCTCCAGAGTCCTGCTGGTCTCATAAGGCCCTATCCAGTGAGCTCACATGTGCAGACATGGGGTGTCTTCCCTACCCTCACTGGCATATGAAAAACGAAGTCTCCTTCCCCTCTGGCCTCCTAGGCAGGAGCCCTGTGTTACCCATCCTGAGCCTCCTGGAGAGGAAACTGCATGATGACAAGTAGCCCCACTCATTCAGGGACTGAGACAAATTACAGATCCTCCCTTTCAGCAGTGCTTCCTGGGGCCTGCGGTGGACTCAGTGATGGATGCTCCTTGGATTTCTGCAGCCCATGGTGCCCAGGATACGCACTCCCCGTTTCAAAATCCAACCCTGACTTGTCTAGGGAGGTTTTACCTTTTTTGGGCTCTTCTCCAAGCTGTTGCACCAGGCCATACTTATTAACTAGCTGCTGACAGGTGGCGCCGGGAGGTGAATTATGGGCCTTCGTGGCAGAAGATGGCTGAATAAACTATCCTTACTGGACATGGGCATACAATTGCTAGCTTTGGGGGACATGCTCAAGTCACTGTGACCCGACTTGAAATATGAGGCTGGTGGACGATTTTCCCCTCAGGTTTAAAACAGCTACCTGGGTATTATTTTTTTTCTTAAACTCATTCATTATACTCTATCTCATGTTTGAAAAAGGAAATCAGTTTCTGGCTGCTTGGGAAATACTGAATAATAATACTTTAAAAAATAGTAAAGTAATCATGCAGGGTTTCTTGTTTCCTCCGTATTATGAAACTTTGCAGGCATTCGACGAACCAGGAAATTGCACTTTGAACAAAAACATGCAGAGTGAGCTGGCTCTTTGGATGAAAAGGAAAGGGTGAAATGCAGAAAACTCAGAGAAATCATCTTCGTGCCTGAAGACAGCTACCAGTGCCACAGGAAGATGAAAATTTAAATGAGTGATCCTGGTAGACTCAAAGTCAGACTGGAGCCCTCTGCCTTTCCTAGGACGTCAAAATGAGGAATAGGTTTTTAAAAAATGACTATTTGTTGGCTGGGTGCAGAGACTCATGCCTGTAATCCCAGCACTTTGGGAGGCTGAGGCAGGCGGATCATCTGAGGTCAGGAGTTCAAAACCAGCCTGGCCAACGTGGAGAAACCCCATCTCTACTAAAAATACAAAAATTAGCCTGGTGTGGTGCTGCACGCCTGTAATCCTAGCGACTTGGGAGGCTGAGGCAGGAGAATTGCTTGAACCCAGGAGGCGGAGGTTGCCGTGAGCCGAGACTGTACCACTGCATTCCAGCCTGGGTGACAGAGCGAGACTCCACCTCAAAAATAAAATAAAATAATAAAAATGAATATTTGCTAACAGTTTGGTAGAGTTCAAGGAGTTTCTGAGGCTGCCTGCATAGCAAGGTGGTTTTCTTGCAGTTTATTCTTTCTATTTAAGTGCATTTCCCTTGAGTAAAGGGACACTAGGACAGCATCTAAGCAAAAGGCTCAGATTAAAGGTTAGACTCTATTTGCCAGGGAGGCCAGTGAAACCTTGCCTGGGAAATATGCTGTGGCATTCTGGGGTCCCAGAGAGCAGGCCCTGTGCACTCCACCTGGTGATGAAGAGGGCACCGACATCTACTTATGAGTCTGCGTCAGTAGACGCTAAGCTCTATGAGGGCAAGTGCTGCATCCTTCGTCTATCTCTGTCATCCTTTTTCTGAACTTGGCTCCTGGTATACACAGTACTCAGTGAAAGTCTGCCGAATGAACAAATGAATGAACAAAGGGAAGGCACTAAGGAGTTGAGCTGTTGTCTTAGACTGGCAAGAATAAGGCAGCTGTATCAGAGCACACAGAGTCACACAATACGTAGAAAACCATTCAGATCGATTTAATTTTAAGTTTCTTTGAGAAACAGCACCAAGCACACTCAGGAATAGCTGCACCTTCGAACCTGGCCACTCACCTGGTCAGCTAAGGATGTAGAGAGCATGCCCATGAGCTCCCTCTCTGCGGTCAGCCTCCACATCTGCTCCCATTTCATCTTCCGCAGCTTATCCAGAAGTAACAGGATCACCCCTGGGCAACAGCACAGGATAAAAGAGAAAATTAAAAAATAAAAAAGATGGAGAGCTAGGCACACCTACTCACATCACAGCCACAGTCTCTCGGGGATGATTGTCTTATGCAGACAAGAGGCCTATGCACTGCTGCAGATGAGTCTTCCCTCTAAAAATTCTTCCAATGAGGCTCCACAGTATGGGGCACCTGTTTTGGAGACGAATACACCTGGGTTCAAGCCTAGGACCTGCCAGTTACTCGATAGGAGACATGAAACCATCTCTCTGAGACCTCCTTGTTGTATGGAGACTGGTCATACAGGCCTCAAAGGACTGTTGGAAGGAGTAAGTGATGAGGGCAGGGAGAGCCTAGCATTGTATGGAGATGGACAGTGGTGGTGGCCGCACAACAATGTGAATGGACTTCATGCCGCTCAACTGTACGTTTAAACATGGTTAACACGGTAAATTTATGTTATGTATATCTCACCACAATAATGAAAAAAAAGATTCTAGCTCTGCACTGGATACAGAGCACATTCCTTATAGACATTAGGTTCTCTCCTGTGTTTTTCCCCAGAGATATGACCACCTACCTAGGTTGAGCTGATAGGTGGAATTTGTACGATGTATACCATTTATCCGTACACACAAAAGCAGCTCCTCTGTGACTTTATTCTGGGTATGGCTTTGCCAATTTGCTTGATGATTACTGACAAGCCATATGGGCCTGTCTCAGTCTTCCTGATTTCAAGAGGGTCTTTTTGGCCCATCCACGCTGGGTCTTTAAGGTGAGCTCCAGAAGCCTGTGAGCTCATAAGAAACTAATAATAAGAGGTGGTTCCTCTTCCTTGGTATCTTTTCTTGGTTACTTTCTGCGGAAGGGACCTGGGTGAATGGAGGGTTGTTTAGGGAGGGAAACTCCCCTTGTCTATATCCTTTTGTGTTTTTTAAAACGCTAAAACAACAGCCGGGTGTGGTGGTGGTTCATGCCTGTAAACCCAGCACTTTGGGAGGGGAGGTGGGTGGATCACCTGAGGTCAGATTAGCCTGGCCAACATGGTGAAACCCCATCTCTACTAAAAATGCAAAATTAGCTGGGTGTGGTGGTGCATGCCTGTGATCCCAGTTACTTGGGAGGCTGAGGCAGGAGAATCACTCGAACCTGGGAGGTGGAGGTTGCAGTGAGCTGAGATCGTGCCACGGCACTCCAGCCTGGACGACAGCGCAGGACACCGTCTCAAAAAAAAAAAAAAAAAAAAAAAAAAAGCTAAAACAACTAAACATATTATTCAGGCAAAAAATAAATACATCAGTTAAAATCTAAAAAAGAAAAATACACTTAGGCTTAGCTGAATGGCTGAGAAGCAACTATCTACCATCAGGTCAGTTAGAGCAAGCAGAAAAAGCCCTGAGCACGGAACACAAAAAGCCGAGAGAATTTCCCTGCAGGCCACTGCAGTCAATTTGGTGGGTGGAACTGTAGCACCCAGAGGCCCCCAAATCAATCCTCTTCAGGATGCTTAGCTCAGCAGAATGGTCAGTGGGGAAGACTCAAGGCAGTTGAAAAATGATCTTAGTTGAAACCTAGCACCTGCATTTCCAAGACTCTAGGAAAGAAACTGATTTCCCCAAATCACATACAAATGTCAACTCTAAGCCTCTTTACTTATTCCAGTGGCACATATTTGGAGAAAAGATATATTCACCATTTAGTGAAAGGTGTTTGGCCAGGTGGAGTTGGAAAAAAAATAGTATCTATATGGCTATGGGAAGATTGGGTTAATACACAGAGATCTGAACTTGTAAGTCTGAAGGACAAATTAGATCTGCTGCATAGGTCCTTTGTGCTTTGTTAGGGTTTTTGCACATCACGTATCATTTCCCCTAATGCTCCCTGAGATCTCTACAAGATAGATTTTGTTATCCTTATTTTATAGGTGAGGAAACTGAGGGGCTAAATCGGACACTTGTCAATTCACTGTTCAAAAGTAGCTATGTCAGATTCAAACTCAGATCTGCGTGATTCCAAGGCCAGTGCTTCTTCCACTCAACCACATAGACTAGAGCCCCAGCAATGTCACTTTGGAGCCATGGGACTCAGGTCAAGATCTGTCTTTTGTTGACTCTCAGTTTCTATGAGTGTTAAATGAGAAAAATGCTACTTGCCCTGCACAGCTCAGAAAACTGTTGCGCACTCTTGTGGTAGGCTGGTAATGTTTAACCATCAGCTCTCTGGGGGAAAAAAACGGCCGGATTTGTAGCATTTGCCAATTGCCAAGGTGTAAACACTCCCATCATGGCTAATTTCAAGCTAGCAATATCATATCACTGAATATGGAGTTGGGGAGGAAGGTACACAGTGGAAATTGTTCGCCATAAATGTATTATCTGATTGTTTTACTCAGATAAACAATGTTGGGGGGGGTAGAAAGAAAAGAAACATTTACAAAGTTACAAACCAAGAGAATATAGTGATGTAAGTCACTGGTGACTGATTTAAGAAAATATATTCCAGTCAAAAATATGAATGAAGCCGGGCATGGTGGCTCACACCTGTGACCCCAGCACTTTGGGAGGCCAAGGTGGGTGGATCACTTGAGGTCAGGAGTTCAAGACCAGCCTGGCCAACATGGTGAAACCCCGTCTCTACTAAAAATACAAAAAAATTAGCTAGGCATTGTGGTGTGTGCTTGTAATCCCAGCTACTCAGGAGGCTGAGGCAGGAGAAGTGCTTGAATCCAGGAGGCGGAGGTTGCAGTGAGCCGAGATTGTGCCACTGTACTCCAGCCTAGGTAACTGAGCAAGACTCCATCTCAAAAAACAAAAAACAAAAAACAAAAAACAAAAAAAGGGCGGGCAGGTGTGGTGGCTCATGCCTGTAATCTCAGCACTTTGGGAGGCCAAGGTGCACAGATCATCTGAAGTCAGGAGTCCAAGACCAGCCCCGCCAACATGGCGAAACCCCACCTCTACTAAAAATACAAAAAAACTAGCCGGGTGTGGTGGTGCACGCCTGTAGTCCCAGCTACTCCTGAGGCTGAGGCACAAGAATAGCTTGAACCCAGGAGACGGAGGATGCGGTGAGCTGAGATTGCACCACTGTCCTCCAGTGGGGGTAACAGAGTGAGACTCTGTCTCAAAAAAAAAAAAAAAAAAAAGAAAGAAAGAATTTCATTAATCTTATTACAAAAATGAATTATAATTAGGTTGGATAGATGCTCCAATGTATTAAAAAATGGGGGGGGGGATGGTGGGAAACTAGAAACAATGATGAAATATATTAATGCACATTTTTGAAGCCTCTAGAGAGGTCCAGGATAAACCTATGAGTCTCTGGTGACCAAGCTGAGAACTGATGCTTTTAAATGGTGTGAGACTTGGCAGATGTGATTTGCCAGGTTGCCTGAAAAGTCGGAATGTCTAAAACAGATGACTAAATGCAGAGATGCAGGATCATCCTCCCTGTTAGCCAGTCTTTTCTTTTGCGTGACTTTAATTTTTAAAATTATGAACTATTTCAAAACAATAGAAAAGCACACAAACTAATATAATGAATACCCACCACCTAGATATAATGGTTGTTATAATACCTTGCCACATTTACTGTTAAAAAATTAAAGCATTACAGATAAATCTAAAGTTCATCTCATTCTACCTCCTCTCTTCCTCAAAGGCAGCCAGTATTCCCAGGGGTCTGTGTTTTATTCCTAGGCTTGTTTTTATATTTTTATCCTCTATGCACATAATAACACATGGTATTTTTAGTGTGTTTTGGATTGCGTATTTCCTATTCTAACTTGCCTTTTCACCCACTGTTATGTCTTTAAGATTTAACTATGTTAGTATTTCCTATCTAGTTTAGTCACTGTAATCACATCATCCATTTTATACCTATACCATAATTTATTTATCCATTCCTCTCCTGAAGGACATTTTGGTTGTTTACTATGTTTTTGCCATTATGAACAATGCTGCAATAAATATCCTAATCTTGATTCATGTCTCGAGAGCTTAGCTAGGGTGCAGCTTCCAAAGTTGGACCGGGATTGCCGTGTTGAAGGCGCTCCTTGTCTTGAAACATCTTCAACTACTCCATCTTCCATTTCTCTTACAGTCAGCCATTACTGAGTCCACAGATTCTAAATTTAAAACACCTTTTACATTTCTTTTATTCATTCATTCAACAGTTATTTACTGAGTAGCTACTATGTGTGAATTCACAGAAATAGACTTGTACTTATTTTGCTTCACTACTTTCACCAATCTCATGGGCTTTTTAAATTTTTTTATTTTTTTAGACAGAGTCTTGCTCTGCTGCCCAGGCTGGAGTGCAATGGCACGATCTCGGCTCACTGTAACCTCTGCCTCCCAGGTTCAAGCAATTCTCCTGCCTCAGCATCCCAAGTAACTGGAACTACAGGCACACACCACCACGCCTGGCTGATTTTTTGTATTTTTAATAGAGATGGGGTTTCGCCATGTTGGCCAGGCTGGTCTCAAACTCCTGACCTCAGGTGATCCACCCACCTCAGCCTCCCAAAATGCTGGGATTTTACAGGTGTGAGCCACCACGCCTGGCCAATCTCATGGGCTTTATTCAACATATTAACTCAGCATATATTTACTGGAGGTGTAACATTCATTCTTTGCCAGGCCCTTTTGTGGAAACACACATAAGACACGTACATCATTAGGATTCAATGTGATGACTGCAAACACTGAGATCATGCAGTGCTTATGAAGAGAGCTCACAGGAGGGAGGCCTGGGTGGCCTGGGCTAGGACTTGGTCAGGCAGTTGGGGAAGCTGTCTGAGGAAACACCATGGACAAAGGCACAGAGGCAGGAGATGCATGACAAGACTGGGCTACGCAAGAACTAGAGTGTATCATGGCCAGACAGTTTCAATAGCAGGCTTAGGCAAATGCCAGGACAGACGCCTGAACACACGCACAGGCAATAAATCAGGAAGAGCCTCGTATCTATGCAACACAGGTGCGTTCCAACCATGTTTATGCCGTTTCCTACAGAGAAAATGCTATTCTTAAAACCCACTGGGAGTTAAGCTGCTTATGGCTGGAAAGGCTGATCCAAGGGTTTCAGAGGCCCCAGGCCCTACCAAAGTATCCCCAAGGCCCAGGAGATGATTTTGTTGGCACTTGTCACCCATGTGTGACACAGTGGTTGGGAAGTCCTACTGAGGACAACTGAAAGCCAGACAAGGATGTAGAGCAAGAGAGTGACTACAACAGAATCTGTTTTAGAAAAGCCAAACTAGCTGGGTGCGGTGGCTCATGCCTGTAATCCCAGCACTTTGGGAGGCTGAGGCTGGCGGATCACCTGAGGTCAGGAGTTTGAGACCAGCCTGGCCAACATGGAGAAACCCTGTCTCTACTAAAAATACCAAAATGAGCCGGGCATGGTGGTGTGTGCCTATAGTCCCAGTTACTTGGGAGGCTGAGGCAGGAGAATCACTTGAACCTGGGAAGCACAGGTTGCAGTGAGCCGCGACTGCATCACTGTACTCCAGCCAGGGTGACAGAATGAGACTCAGTCTCAAAAACCAACCAACCAACCAACCAACCAACCAACCAACCAACCAACCAAACAAAAAAAACCAAGCTAAAATGTTGCTGTCATTTATCCTGCCATTTCACAAGATCAAAGGCCTCCAGTATTTCAGGGTGGTCTTCAGAACAAGCTATAACCCCTTGGTTGTGGCCAGACCATCTGGTTCTCGCCATAATTTAATTTTCTTTTCTTTCATCAGACCACTTCATCCAGGAAAACTGGCACTCTGCCATAAAACAACCGCAACCTCTGCCTCTGTGAATTTGATGAGCTGATTCTCAGGCTGCTTTTCTCTTTGGAATTCCAGAACGTTTACTAAATATACCACTCTCTGTACCCCGATTCAACCAAGAATCAGAATCCAAAGCAGACAAAAACATTCATGAGCAAACATGTCACAAAGCTTATGAATTTCACTCTCAGCTTCCTGAGCCTCCTCTAATCTCACAACATTCTTAGAAAGGGGGGCTGGTTAGACCTTACTGCTAAGTTTGCATCGATGTGGGAACCGAGGTGCTGAGGATGGAGGTGATGTTTCCGATGTCACAGTGCTGGCAACTGCTTCTTACTGCCCTGTTTATCTTAGAACATTAGAACTAATAAAGACCCTGTGCTTCCTGTGCCAGCAGAACCCATGGGTGGCTCTTCTTTGTACCTAGACATTTTTAAAGACCATGCTTCCTCTTAAACATGAATGTCACACGTGTGCTCGGCTGACACAGGCTCATGTGGGCTTCTGGGAATCAGGGCTCCCAGACACCACAGCTGGGCCATAGGCAAGCTGCTCTTGGCATGCCAAACCAGAGGGGACTCTGTCTGCTTTTGTTGTGTGTTTTTTTTTTTTTTTTTTGAGACAGAGTCTTACTCTGCTGCCCAGGCTGGAGTGCAGTGAGTGGCACGATCTCAGCTCACTGCACCCTCCGCCTCCCAGGTTTAAGCCATTCTTGTGCCTCAGCCTCCTGAGTAAGTAGGACCACAGGTGTGCGCCACCAGGCCTGGCTAATGTTTTTTGTATTTTTAAGAGAGAAGGGGTTTCACCATGTTAGCCAGGCTGGTCTCGAATTCCTGAACTCAAGTGATCCGCCCACCTTGGCCTCCCAAAGTGCTGGGAACACAGGTGTAAACCACCACACCCAGCTAATTTTTTGTATTTTTAGTAGAGACAGGGTTACACTATGTTGGCCAGGCTGCTCTCGAACTCCTGACCTCATGATCCACCCGCCTCGGCCTCCCCAAGTGTTGCAATTACAGGTGTGAGCCACCGTGCCCAGCCTACCACAGGTTATTCCTATAACCAATATCCTCACATCCTCATAGGTCCTGCATTCAGAAGTCATTTCGTCTATGATTCATTTCAAAATTTTTTTATTTGAGCACCTGCTTTGGTTCTATTCATTAGTTAACTGGGGACTTGGAAGTTTTTAAAACACAGTCCTTGTTCTCAGGGAGCAAGGCCTGATAGGGAAGGGAAACAGGTAATCACAAAAATGCAAAGCACTGTGATAAATGGGAGGTGGGGAAGAACTATGGGAGCTGGGGTACAGGTAAACTGACTGTGTCTCAGGGGAAGCATTAGGGGAAGGGCATCTTGAAATGAATGATGTCTACACTGAAACTTAAGGATAAAAAAGGTTATATAAGTGAGAGACAGGAAGAACAAAGGTCAAACCAGACAGGCTTCTCTCTCTAGGACAGTGATTTCAAAGGAATGGGTTGCTGAATATCTAGCAGGTAGCAAATACTGTCCACCACATCTGAACTGCAGACCTCAAAAGGTAATGACCCATGTCCCCCTCTTCTCCCAAAAAAGAAAATTTTAGAAAGGCTGCATAAAGTTGTCTAGCATGGGTGAAAACATTTGTCTTTGCTCATAAATCTATAATTATCCACAGGTTATTTCCTTTTTCCTTTTTTTTTTTTTTTTTTTTTTGAGACGGAGTCTTGCACTGTCGCTCAGGCAGGAGTGCAATGGCGTGATCTCGGCTCACTGCAACCTCTGCCTCCCGGGTTCTAGCGATTCTCCTGCCTCAGCCTCCCGAGTAGCTGGGATTATAGGTGCCCACCACCACACCCAGCTAATTTTTTGTATTTTTAGTAGAGACAGGGTTACACTATGTTGGCCAGGCTGCTCTCGAACTCCTGACCTCATGATCCACCTGCCTCGGCCTCCCCAAGTGTTGCAATTACAGGTGTGAGCCACCGTGCCCAGCCTACCACAGGTTATTCCTATAACCAATATCCTCACATCCTCAGAGTGACACAGCAGAATGAATTCTGGGAACACACGCTTCTTCTTTTTTTTTTTTTTTGTAGCTATCCCAGAAGGGGAAGGAAAAAGAAAAAACTGCAGTGGACTTGGAAAACACACTCTTGGCTCTGAGTCCTGATATCACTGCTTAATATCAATATGATTCTTGAAAAAAGTCACTGTGTTTCTAAGCCTCAGATCCTTATTTGTAATATAGTGACAATCCCACATTAACTCCAAGGTGATTGTGAGGAACAAAAAAGAAAATGGGGGCCAGGTGCGGTGGCTCACGCCTGTGATCCCAGCACTTTGAGAGGCAGAGGAGGGTGGATCACCTGAGGTCAGGAGTTCGAGACCAGCCTGGTCAATACGGCAAAACCCTGTCTCTACTAAAAATACAAAAATTAGCCAGATGTGGTGGTGGGTGCCTGTAATCACAGTTACTTAGGAGGCTGAGGCAGAAGAATTGCTTGAACCTGGGAGGCGGATGTTGTGGTGAGCCAAGATGGCCCCACTGTACTCCCGCCTGGGCAACACAGCGAGACTCTGTCTTAAAAACAACAACAACAACAACAAAAGCAAGAAAAATGGCATCTTTAAAGTGGATGCCACTTTAAAGATTTAAATGGCATCTGGTACAGTGGAAGAGTATCCACCAGTGCTGTAGTGGGAATTATTAATGGATAATTAATGTCCAAACCTAGTAAATCATTTTTCTTTGTAATCCACTGATTATTCAAATAATCTTCAAAATTCCCGTGAGTGTGAAATGTACTGGACAACTTGAAATATTTGCAATATTTGCAAACATTTCCAGGCCCATAGCCTTCTCAGTGTTCTGAAAATAGGTGGCTTATAGTGTCACAGCCTGCATGCTTAGGAGATCTCTTGAGGTTATTCCAAGTGGCAGCTAAGAGATACATCCACAGGAAGAAAACAAATAATAATAAAGGAAAGAAAATCCACTGTATGGAAAATTATGAGCTTAAATTATATTCTTAAGCAGCTAATGAGTCTGTTTAGGATGTTAAATATAATCATCATATTGATATGAGCTTATAAGACAATCTGCCAGTTTCTTCAAAGGTTAGGAGTTTGCACTCAGGTCATAAAAGACTTGAGAAACAACATTTCCAAGAGAAACAGAACTCTGTTTATTGACCTTGCTCCTATGGGGCTGCGGAAATATCCTAATTAATGGCTGTGCAGTGCTTTCAAAATATGAAGTAGTACATAAAAGCTTAATAAATGACAGTTACAGAAACTATACATTTCCTCATTAAGGTGTCTAATTATCCCTCACTGAACTTGCCTAATTCCCACTGGATTTAATATAAATTATGTGCATGTGTGCAAAGTAGAAAGAGGATTTTTAAGTGACTACTGCTTCAAGTTATGAAAATGGTTCCATTTGAAACTGGAGCCTTTTAAGCTGAAACAACACGGATTTGGCTTTGGAATGCGTGCCCCAAATCAGACTTTTGACCCTGCTTTTCTGCTGTCAGGTGGAAGGTGGTGCCAAAAAGCTTGACTTTGGCCTTTGCCTGGCATTCGCTGCTGCCTGATCCACCCATTCCCATCCTTGTCGTCGGGGTCTGGGAGCTTGGAGCAAGCCCCTTGCCCCTGAGTGCTCTGCACAGAGGCAACATGCCTTAAATTTGACAAGGACTGTCAAGGGAGCTGGCTGGGATGCATGTGACCCGCAGCACTTTACCTACAGCTGTTGTGCTGGGAGCACAGAGACCAACGCTAAATAAATAAATGAATAAATAAATTAAAAATCAAAGGATTCTCTCATGAACATCTGGTCAAGTAGCAGGGCTTTTCATCTGTGGATCAGAGGGCCATGTTTTCTTTTTAGCAACAGCTCAGTAATCAAGATGGCAGGGAAAGAAAAGTAGGTATCTGTGCAGAGAGGAAAGTGAGAATAATGCTATTTTATGAGCTAGACATTATTTTTTGCCAGTGCAACTGCCAAAAAAAAAAAAAAAAAGAGAAGCTAAACAGGGTGACAATGATGATAATACCTACTATTTATCAAGCAACTGCAGTATACTAGAGAGAAGGAACTTAACTTAGATGACCTCTGATTCTTTTTTTTTTTTTTTTTTGAGACAGAGTCTCGCTCTGTCACCCAGGCTGTAGTGCAGTGGCACAATCTCGGCTCACTGCAACCTCTGCCTCCCAGGTTCAAGTGATTCTTCTGCCTCAGCCTCCTGAGTAGCTGGCACTACAGGCGTGTGCCACCACACCCAGCTAATTTTTTGTATTTTTAGTAGAGACGGGGTTTCACCATGTTGGCCAGGCTGGTCTCGAACTCCTGACCTCGTAATCCGCATGCCTCGGCCTCCCGAAGTCCTGGGATTACAGGTGTGACCCACTGCACCCAGCCAGATGACCTCTGATTCTTATGACAAACTTGCAAAGTAGATGGAATTATCTCTATTTTACAGATGAAGAAACTAAGGTAGACAGAATTACCTCCATTTTACAGATGAAGAAACTAAAGCTTCCATATAACTAACGTGTGGTAAAATTAATTTCACTCTTTGATTTGTGGTCTCAACCATACCATGTGGTCTCAACCTCCTGGGAGCGTGTGTGTGTGTGTGTGTGTGTGTGTGTGTGTGTGTGTGTGTATGTGTGTGTGTATCTACATGCTCATAACTAAATACGGTGAGGCTTTGCTGAATCAGGGGTCTAAAGCCAAAACAAAAGAGTAGCTCCTGGAGGAGCAGTAAGTAAATGTTTGAAGGACTTTGAGAAGACCACAGGCCATAAGCAGACTGCCTCTGTGAAAACCTGGGAAGATCCCAATCATTATAAAAGGCCGGGAAAGGGCTGGGCATGGTGGCTCACACCTGTAATCCCAGCACTTTGGGAGGCCAAGGCTGGCAGATCACGAGGTCAGGAGATTGAGACCATCCTGGCTAACACACGGTGAAACCCCGTCTCTACTAAAAATACAAAAAAATTAGCCGGGCGTGGTGGCGGGCCCCTGTAGTCCCAGCTATTTGGGAGGCTGAGGCAGGAGAATGGTGTGAACCCCGGAGGCGGAGCTTGCAGTGAGCCGAGATCGCGCCGCTGCACTCCAGCCTGGGTGACGCAGCGACTCTGCCTCAAAAAAAAAAAAAAAAAAAAAGCCAGGAAAACTAGGGCTTCCCTGAGGACAGTCCTGTATGAAAAGGAAGCTGTAGGCCTAGGGTAGGGCCTGATCCAAGATTAGTGATAGTGGGTAACCGGATGGAGCCAATAAATATTCAACTCAGGACACTGTGTCAGCGCTAACTTATGTCAACTTTCCCTCCTGCATGGTAGGAACATTCCCTTCTTTCTGCATCTGAAACCATCCAAGTAACTTCATAGCATGTAGAGGACTACTTGCAGGCAAGAACTCTTTAAAACTTTTTTAGCAAAGGGGAATGCCTTAAGCTTGCATTATGAAAACTGTTTAAGAGAAGGTTCTGCCACTATTCCCTCCCTGCCCTATTTTCATTCTTTAGGCTAGCTACAAGAATGTAGCTAGAATTGGGTTGGTCAATTCAGACCACATACCTCCTTGGCTCAGGAGGAGAAAGTAGGGACCAAAGTGCCTGGATGACTCCTTTGAATGAGGTTCAGAGGAAGTTTCAGATGAAACCTTTTATTCCTAAACTCAGTACTTCTCACAGTGTATGATGTAGCATTCTGTAGGATGCTAGTAAATGTTGTGGAAGCAGGGCTAAATAAGTTAAATAAGTGTAGGAGATGATTGATTAGGGTTAAATAAAGTTAAATAGGTTTTGATATATCAGTGTGCACAGTGAATCTCAAAGGTGGTTACGGCTTCCAACACTGTCAGAACGATTTGCCCCTTTTCCCCCAGGACTCTAATAGGATATTGCTTGTCCCTTCAGTTTGAGTCCTCACTGGCTTTGGTCTGCACTTCCTCAGCTCTCCACCTCTAATGCAGGATCCACTACGTGAAAATGAAGATTTGCTCCTTAGTCCTTCAGTGGTTTTTGAGGCTTTGCTGGTTTGAACCAGTGAAATCCTATGGACACAGCGCAGCTGCTCAGCAGGAGGCTCTGGGGAGCGTGCAGACTCTCATCTCAGAAATGCTGATAAAAATCACCCTCAGAATCGCAACCTTCCTCCCTTCTGCTTTGAAGCACTAGAGTTCTCTTCTTATTCATAATCCAACAGAAAGTAAGTTTATTAAAAACCACTTAATTTAAAATCCCCTGCTGATTTTACCTGGGACTCACTTTTGATCATATAAATGAAAAGGTTCTGTAATCCAGCTTTTGCTTTTTAAATTATTTCTTCCTGAAAGCTTTTTGAGAGAGAAAGACAGAGTGAGAGACAGAGAGAGTGACAGAGAGAGAGAGAGAGAGAGAGAGAGAGAGAGAGATAGGGAAGGAGGGAGGGGTGGGAGAGAAAGTGGAAATCCTTCCATCTCAAACCTTCCCTAACTTGGCTGGGTTTTTCTCAAGTGTGAATGGAATGGGGTGTGGTCATTCACTCACTCATTCATTCAATAAATATATATTTTAGCAACACAGAGACAAAGAACACAGTCGTCCCTGCCCGAGAGAGCTTGGAGGTGTTATGGGCAAATAGAGGTATGTTCTAGGCAGACAGGGTGGGCTCCCAAAGGTGGGTGTGGTTGGATTTCATGTTGTGGGAAGTGGTTCTTTTAGACAACAACACTTCACTCTTCCTCTTTATCTCACTGGACAGAAATCATTTGGCCAAGGTTGTGATAGAACTAAGGACACAAACGGTTTGGTGGCTGGCAAATACTTTCAACAAAAACTTGCAGAGTACTTTTGTTTTTTGCTTTTATAAGCAAACTTTTTATTAGAGTGGAATGTACATTCAGAAAAGTGCATAGATCATAACTGTACAGCTTGATGAATTTTCATGAATTGAATAACTAGAACCCAGACCAAGAAACAGAATATCACTAAACCAGAATCCCCCTTACAGTCAAAAACCTACCCAATATCTTGCCATCATCTTGCCTTTTTTCTTTCTTTTTTTTTGAGATGGAGTTTCGCTCTTGTTGCCCAGGCTGGAGTACAATGGCTCGATCTCTTTTCACCGCAACCTCTGCCTCCTGGGTCCAAGCAATTCTCCTACCTCAGCCTCCCGAGTAGCTGGGATAACAGGCATGTGCCACTATGCCCGGCTAATTTTGTATTTTTAGTAGAGACGGGGTTTCTCCATGTTGGTCAGGCTGGTCTCGAACTCCCGACCTCAGCTGATCCTACCGCCTTGGCCTCCCAAAGTGCTGGGATTACAGGCATGAGCCATGGTGCCTGCCCTCATCTCGCCTTCTTACACAATAGCATAGTTTTATCCATTTCTGAGCTTTATATGCTTTGAATCATACAGTATGTGCCCTTTGTATGAATATTACATTTGTGAAATCCATCCATCCCATGCATGCCATTGTCATTTGTTCATCTTAATGCTGTGTAATAATCTATGACATGAATATCTTACTCTACCCATTATGTCACTGATGGACATTTGGGCTGTAATAAACATTCTTGAACATGTCTTTTGACGGCATGTGTATGCATTTCTGTTGAGTACATACCTCCAAGTGGAATTTCCAGGTCATTGAGTGTGCATGTGCTCAGGTTAAGTAGATATTGCAAAGTGGTTCTGAAGTATTCCAATTGCTCCGCAGTCCCACTAAAAACTGGCATTGTCTCAATTTTTGCATTTTAGGCATTCGGTTAGGTCTACACTTTGTATAGTGGTATAACAATATGGATTTTAATTTGCATTTTTTAATGACTAATGAGGGTCATAGTCTTTTTATATGTTAATTGCCCATTTTGTCCTCTTTTGGGAACTGCCTGTTCTTTTGCTCATTTTTCTATTGGGTTGTCTGCCCTTTTTCTTACTGGTTTGGACGAGTTCTTCATATATTTTTCTTCCCACTTTTAAAGTAAAGGAATGTGGGTCCTGAAGCTGACTGGAAATGAGCGAATTTCTGGCTTTGTGTGTCCAGCTATGCACCAACAGAGACCCCCTTCTCAAAGCTGGATGGGCATTCATGGGTGGGTGATGCCTGCTGCCTACTTTGCTAGTCTTTTCTGGAATCTATATTAAGCTAGAAAAAAAAAAACCTCAAAGAAGGTTATCAAATCCATGCCCCATCTCTATCCCCAATGGCTTCAGGAAACTGAGGCTCAGAAAGGCTATGTGGCTGGTCAAAGCAAAACAACTAATACGAAGTTAAAAAAAAAGGTCAAGGATCTAAGTCCCTGACACTCCCCCAACCTTTCCTCCTGAGCTATTTCTGACTCCTCCAACTCTCTGCTTCTCTATAGTCAATCTGTTTAAGCTCATCTCAGCTTTCCTTAGTCTGTTTAGACTCACTTGCCGAACTAGAGTGATAATTCCTGGTCAACCCTGCAGATCTGAGGAGATTCCACAGATAGTTCCTTTTAACCACAGAGTGCTTTGCAAATAAAAAGTTGAGGAAAAGTGTTCTTATGGGTTGAATTATGTCCTTTCCAAAAGGTATGTCCAAGTCCTGACCCCCAATACCTATGCATGTGACCCATTTTTTGGAAAATGTCTTTGCAGTTGTAATCAAGTCAACATGAGGTCATAGTGGATTAGAGTAGACTCCAATCCAATGGCTAGTGTCCTTATAAGAAGAAGAGATAGAGACAGACACAAAGGGAAGAGGGCCGACAGAGGCAGGGGTTGAAGATATACCCTAAGGAATGCCTGGTGCTACCAGAGCTGGAAGAGGCAAGGAAGAATCAGAAGAATTTTCCCCTAGAGGCTTCGGAAAGAGCGTGGTTTGGCTAACACCTTCACATGGACTTCTAGCCTCCAGGACTGTGGAAGAGTAAACTTCTGCTTTTTTAAAAAAAATTTATTTTAAGTTCTGGGATACAACATGCAGGTTTGTTACATAGATATACACGTGGCATGGTGGTTTGCTGCACCTATCAACCCATCATCTAGGTTTTAAGCCCTTCAAGCATTAGGTATTTGTCCTAATTCTCTCCCTCCGCTTCCCCCCGCCCCGACCAAGAGGCCCCCATGTGTGATGTTCTGCTCCCTGTGTCCATGTGTTCTCATTGTTCAACTCTCACTTACGAGTGAGAACAGGTGGTACTTGGTTTTCTCTTCCTGTGTTAGTTGCTGATAATATTGGCTTCCAGCTTCATCCATGTCCCTGCAAAGGACATGAACTCATTCTTTTTTATGGCTGCATAGTATTCCATGGTATATATGTGCCACATTTTCTTTATCCAGTCTGTCATTGATGGGCATTTGGGTTGATTCCAAGTCTTTGCTATTGTAAATAGTGCTGCAATAAACATACGTGTGCATGTGTCTTTATAGTAGAATGATTTGTAATCCTTTGGGTATATACCCAGTAATGGGATTGCTGGGTCAACCACTGTGGAAGACAGCGTGGCGATTCTTCAAGGATCTAGAACCAGAAACTTCTGCTTTTTTTTTGCCCAGGCTGGAGTGCAATGGTGCGATCTCGGCTCACTGCAAGCTCCACCTCCCGGGTTCACACCATTCTCCTGCCTCAGCCTCCTGAGTAGCTGGGACTACAGGCGCCTGCCACCATGCCCGGCTAATTTTTTGTATTTTTAGTAGAGATGGGGTTTCATCATGTTAGCCAGGATGGTCTCGATCTCCTGACCTCGTGATCTGCCCGCCTCGGCCTCCCAAAGTGCTGGGATTAGAGGCGTGAGCCACCACGCCCGGCCAACTTCTGCTTTTTTAAGCCACTGTTTGTGGTGCTTTGTTACAGCAGTTCCAGTAAAGTAATATCACTGTCATTTTCCAGATTTGGACAGATTTTCAGCTAATCACTAAATCACAGAAGGCAAGTAATTTTGCACATTTTAGACAGTAAATGATAAGAAAAACCCAAGGCAGAAATCACGCTCACTTGTCTGTAGTTGTCTCTTCTCTCGCTCAGAAATCCATGAAGATGTCAAGTCCCTTAGAGGTCCTGCTCTGAGACAAGACAGGCTTTCACAGGCAGTCCATCAGAACGCAGGAGATAACATTTACTGAATGAAGATATTCTGGCTGTGTCCAGGCCACTGCAGTTACAGTAGTTATTAAAAACTCTCCAGCCTATTTCAGGAAGGAGGAAGTATTTTCTGCAGCTGTATAGCAGGAACAATATACTGAGTAGTACCAGGATATTGGTCTTAAAATTGCCACTGAATAAAATGGAGCACAATGCAATAATTGAAGAGCTGGGGTAGATGCAGTAGCATAGAACAGCACTGCAGAGCCATCTGGGGGAGGGATGGGAGGGTCTGACACCCCATGGGCTATATACCAGCTACCGAAAAATGGCTGCAACTCTGAACAGAAGTCAGATCTGCTGGCCAGTTTGTTGGATGGTATGGATATTTTAAATTTTTAACAAATAATGAATCTGCCTCTCTCTATCAGTCTGGCTAGATGCTTCACGGCACACGATGATGTCTCATTTCCCTCCCCAGAAGGGAGAGATGGCGTGGATGGCCGAGCAGCTCTGACCAGTTGAACATGTGCTGGCACCTGCTGGAATGTGGAGCTCCTAAACAGCCGAAAGGGCAGGAAGCTTTCTGCAACTTCCAGCTTAAACAAAGTGAGTCTGCATGGAAGGGCACAACTGAGTATGCCTTCATTATTCACTCATTCGCATGCTCAGAAAAAAAGCAGACGCTGAAAACACATTCAGGGAGGTGTGCAGAGGTCACAGGTGTCTTCTCTACTTTAATTCCTCATTTATGAGGTGAGAAGGATGAACACTTCGTGAGTGCCCCTTCTGTGCCAGACACATATTCTCAGTTTTTCCACTCCCAGGTCCATACTCTGCCCTTCTCTGTGCCCTGGGATCACCTGGCATCCCCTGGTGGCTGGTTCCTGATCGGAAGCTTTGGCAACAGCTTGGAGGGTGGGAGGAAAGAGAGTGTGTTTCTCCCTCGCACACTCTCGCATGTGGGTGGGCAACGTTCCCAGCAATGGCTGTGTCCTCCACTTCAGTCTCTGCTTGGCAGCCATCTCCATGGTTCAAGCCTTCAGTGGCTTCTGGCACCATTATTGCTTCCCTTTGTATCTTGTTATGAGTTGATTGTGTCCTCCTCCAAATTCATCTGTTGAAGCTCTAATCCCCAGCAACCTCAGAATGGGACTGAATTTGGAAACAGGGTCTTTAAAAAGGTAGTTAAGTTAAAATGAGGTCAGACGGGTGACCAATGTCCAATCAACTGGTCAGAAATGCTTGGCCATCCACGCTGTCTCGTCCTTCTTGGGAGGCAAATGAGACATCCTCGTGTGCTGTGAAGCATCTAGCCAGATTGATGAGGAGAGGCCAGCCCATTAGTCATAAAAAAAATAAAAAGAAAAAGAAAATCTCCATGCCAACCAGCCAGTCAGCAGATCAGATTTCTGTTTAGAGAGTGGTAGCCATTTTTTTAGTAGCTGGTATATAGCCTGTGGGGCTTCACCCTCCATGAAGAGGCTCTGCAGTGCTGTCTCAGGCTAATCCAATAGGACTGGTGCCCTCATGTGAAGAAGCAATTAGGAGGCAGACATGCGCAGAAGTGAGATTATAGACGTAGGGAGAGGAAGCATCTATATAGAAGCCAAGGAGAGAAGGGTGCGATAAAACCAACCTTGTCAATACCTTGGTCCCAGACTTCTAGCTTCTAGAACTGTGAGAAAAAAATAAATCTATGTTGTTTAAGCCACCCAGTCTGTGGTATTTTGTTACGGCAGCCCTAGCAAACTAACACACATCTCTCAGCCCAGAACTGGTACCAGCTCTCAGCTTTGGCTAGTCCCTGGGTGCCCCAGCATCCCTTGCTGATGCCTTCAATCCTGCCCATTCACCCCCATATGCAGTCCCTTCATTCAAATATGCTGACTTCCAAGGGCAGATGTCTTCTTGATGGGATCCTGATTGTTATGTTATTTCAGTGAGTCCTTGTAACAGCCCCATGAAATTGGTATGTTTATGCTTGTTTTTACAAACAAGGAAACTGAGGCTCGGAGAGGTCATACAGCTGGTGAGTGGCAGAGCTGGGGTTTCAGCTGAGGTCTTTCTAACTCTGATGACATTGGCTTTGGTAGGTCTGCTGTGTGATGAATGAAAGAGCCATATCCCAGAACCAGAGGCCCAGGGGCTGGGCATCACTAAGTCAACGTCTTCATTTTATAGATGAGGAAACCAAGACTTCGGAGTGAGGTCAGCAGCCTGAGGTCAGGAAGCTTATGCAGTGGCAGAATACAGGCTTGAATAAAAGCCTCTTGATGCTAGATTTGGTACTTTTTGCTGCTTCTCTGACTAATTTGGGAATGACAGCAAGAATACAGTCACCTCCCCAGTGCACACTTTGATGACCTGGGGCAGCTGAGCAAAAAAATCAAGGGTCAGGGTCCTAGCATCTACCCACACAGCACGCATGACCTTGGGCAGGTTACTTAATAACTGCTCTGTGCTTTATGGTACTCTTCTGCAAAATGGATATTCATCATAACTTATAGGACTGTTGGGAGAATCAAATAAGATAACGAAATACTCAGCATAGCACAGTGACTAATACACGTTAGTCTTAATTAAATAAGGGACTATTGTTATTACCTGGGGTATATTTTTAACCAAACTAGTTTCTTCCTATTGACCTGTAGGCACTGAATTCACCACTCACTGTGACCCAGAGGCAGAACAATAATAATGATGATACTGAGAGCTAACGGTGATGGCAGCAGCTTACTAGGACCCAGGCACTAGGCATGCCTATTAACTCTATTCCTTATAACATCACAGAAAGATCGAGTAAGCAATTAGCAAGTGACAACCCAGATTCAAATCCAGTTTCACTTGTTCCAAAATCCATGCGTTTTCTAATACTGATGCCTATGGGGTGATGTGGAATATGACTTACAGGGCTATGGCTGTAAAAAACAAAACAAACAACAACAACAACAAAATACTACATAGTACAATCTACATCTGTGCCTTTCAGAGCTGCAGTTATTGTAGGTGCTTTGTGGCACCAAACTCTGAGCTCCCAGAGGGCAGTGGTGTGTGTTACTGACTCCATACCCACAGCTTCCTGCACGGTATGTGCCATACAGTAGGTCTACTCAATACAAGTATAAGCTCCTGCATTGGCAATGAACTGGAGTGAGCTTGCAGAGAGATGAGACCATAACTTATTTCCTCTGGATCTCAACAAGCAGAGTCCTAGTGCAGAAGAGGGGCTAAAAAATTCCACTTGTGTTAACATCAATAACTGTCATCCTGAAGGACTAAGTTGATTTCAAAAGAACATTTTAATGGGAGTAATAGGGAGTAGTGTCTCCTTATTTCCCAGCACAACCACAGTTCCACGGATGGCTTTGTATTTGGCCACGTGCTGGTTCTGCAGTGTTGTAAACACTTAGAAGGTCTGAGGCCTAGGTTAATTCTAGTCTGCTACTTGTTTTCGGTCTTACCTGGACCATACCGGCTCATTTCTTTTCTTTTTTTTTTGAGACGGAGTTTCGTCCTTGTCACCCAGGCTGGAGTGTAGTGGCGCGATCTCGGCTCACTGCAACCTCTGCCTCTTGGGTTCAAGCGATTCTCCTGCCTCAGCCTCCCGAGTAGCTGGGATTACAAGTGCCTGCCACCACGCCTGGCTAATTTTTGTATTTTTAGTAGAGACGGGGTTTTGTCATGTTGGCCAGGCTTGTCTCGAACTCCTGATCTCAGGCGATCCACCCACCTCCCAAAGCGTTGGGATTACAGGCGTGAGCCACCGCGCCCGGCCCATACTAGCTCATTTCTATAAACTTCTCTTTCCTAGTTTGCAAAATAGTTATGATGATATTATGTTTTTCCTTAGACCAGTATCTTCTGCAAGTCTCCTATGTACCAGAACCCATCTGAAAATAGAAATCATAGTCCTCGGGAAGCCTATGTGCTAACAGAAGAGGGATAAACAAGTAAGTAGGTTAAACATATAGTCTATTGTATGATAAGAACAAAGCAGGGAGGGGAGATAAAGAAAGCTCAGCTGGGAGATGTGGTGAAATTTTCAACCAGTGGTCAGCGAAGACTTTTCCAAGAAGATGATATTTAAGACAGGATCTGCAGGAGGCGAGGTAGCATGCCATGCTGATAAGGAGGAGGAACTTAGGCAGAATTAGCCACAAGTGCAAAGGCCCTTAAGCCAGCTGATAAATTGGAAAAACAGCAAGGAGTGCCTGCCTCCTAGGCTGTTTTGAAAATTAAATAAGATCATAATCCATTTGCAATGCCACATTTATAACCAGTGCTCAATAAATGTTAGCTAGGACTATTAACATTATTTCTGGGGGCACATAAAGGCCCCCTACCTAATAGAAAGTGGCTCTGGCAGCCATAAGGCCACAGTAATCCTTGGGGTCTGAACGTGCTCCCACAAACGAGCCTATCTACCCTCTGCCAGCCTGATCTGGGCAAACCCACAGGCTGTCCTGCTCACAAGGGAGGATTTCCTAGAAATTGGATTAGCGAGGTGTGCATTTAGTGCTGGGAAGTAAGAAGGGAGAACTAAATCCAGCTTTCTCGTGTCAATCGTTTAAACAGAATGTGCAAAATTATCCTGGCTCAAGCTTTGAGGCAAGAGTGATAAATGTACTTTCCTTGATCACTTTTGCAGTATTCAATAACCCCCAAGTAAGGGGGAAGGGGGTTGGAGCCAAACTTTGCAGTATCTACTGAGTACAGGGTGAACTTTCTCCCTAGCAAGGAATTTTGCTTCTGTTCAGTGGGGGGGAAGGAAAGTGTGGTGAAAGCTATACCTGAGCAATTATCCAGGGTGATTCTTAGTCATCACGGCCACAAAAGAGGCTCCCAGTTCGAAGGACTCTGCACTTCTGCATTGGGTAGTGGGGAAGAGGAGCATAAAGGAGTTTGCTGTCCTCTTGTTGGCTTTTAAGGTCATGGGACCGTCCTAAGCTCTGTGTCCTTTATTTTTGTCTTTGTTTCTTTCTTTCTTTCTAGGGAGAAAGATCGTCCTGCATTCAGTAGATCCCTACAAGGACATTGCATGATTGCTACTGTTCAAAAGCTCATGGATATTCTCAGCCAAGTGCCGTCTTTGCCAGTGTGTTACAGAACAAAATGCAAATTCTGTGTCATTGTATCATGGCCCAGGAAGCTCTAGCCTAGCTCCCCAGTCTCAACTCAAGTTCCTCCTTCCAGCCTCCCACCTGTCAGTTCCAGAACAGGCCAAGCTGGAGCCCACATCAGGGCTGCTACATTCTTGTTCTCTGGCCAAGTGTGTGGCTGGCTTCAGGACACGCTTCAGATCTCGGCTAAACTGTCACCTCATCAGAGAGGTCTGTCTCTGTTGTCATTCATTACACAATCCTGGTTAATTACTTTAGGGAGTAATCAACATTACTATGTGTAATTTCTTTCTTCCTTCTTTTCCTTTTTTTCTAGGTGGGGAGTGAAGATTTCAACAGACCACATACTTAAGGCACTACAGGGGCAGGAGCCTTCTGCTTTCAATACGGAATGCTCCATGTTCCAGTCTTGACTTTGCTGCCGACAAATAGTGAGATTTTGAATAAATGGTGTAACGATCCTTACAAACGATGTAGTGGGCATTAAATGAGAGAAAGCACAGGAAGCACTTAGCACAGGGCCTGGTGCAGAGTCAATGCTGAACGAAAAGTCAGTGGTGATTTTAGTACAACAATGGGCCCTTACTACGTGTAAATTCCTTCCTTACGCTCTGTGAAGATCGATAGTCCCTGTTTACTAATCTGTGGTTACGTTAACTCATTAGAATAAATGAAGACCATTAAAAATCAGAGTCTGGAATCTTCGGAAAGATTAACAACTGCAATAGGAATGCATTGCCATTTCCATTAACACATACATTTCCTCAGTCTTATCCAATCAGTAGTATAGATTCAATCCAAAGAACTTGGAAACCAGAAATAAACTTTGAAACCAGGCTGAATATGTGGTTGGTAGAAACAGGTATGGGAATCTGATGATACATTCTCATTAGGTCTCCAGACCTAAAGCAAGTGAGTGGTGACTCCATTCTTCTCTGAAGTCCAGTAGTAAGGCTTCCTCTATGACCACGGCTCTTCCCGCCGTGTATACCCAGACTTGCCTGGCCACACCCATTCCACAGCCTGGCGTGCCCCCTCCACCTGCAGGTCTTCCCTTCCCCATTCTGTCCAACATTCTGCGCAGTCCCATCCCTTGAGATCCGACCCACAAAGCTGCTCCTTAAACAATGACCTCTGCCCGATTTGCATCTTGGGATTTTTCTCCTATCCTCTCCGTCTTGAGAGCTTGCAGGATTTCCTGCTTACTACCACACCGAGACAGAGTTCAAAGAAGCCTGTGTGATGAAACATCCATGTTTTGACTTGAACGCACACACCCTCACTGTTTGTC